>NC_000003.12:89706969-90010000 GCF_000001405.40 Homo sapiens | reverse complement strand
CTTTGAGTAACTTCAAGATTATATTACTGGGAAGCAGTAGAGAAGAATTTAAATTCTGATTGCCCTAATCTTACAGATCAAACTCTGAGCAATTTCACTCTATTAACTATAACAGTAATGTACCTACCCGGAACCTATATTTTACTATGATTTGAAGAGAGGGGATTTATTTTTTTTTCCCTTCAGTTAATTTTTGAAAGATTTCTTTTATCATGACTCAAGCAAAATTTATTTTGGGTGTGAATAATTGCAAATGTCATTTAGTATTTGCCTTAACAGCAGAATATATGAACATTTTGAAACCCATAAGATTGCAGATATCATAAAACCAATGAAATTAATGCCTTCAGAGTGACAGGAAAAAATACTTCTGAATAACAACATTATGTATATCTCTTAGTTTTATTTCTAGCAGTAGTTATAGAATATTTATTTATAAATAAATTATTTTCTATTTTTAAAGACAGAAATAGTTACTTTGTAAGAGGTGGTTATACTTATCAGGATCATTCATGTTGTACTTTTAGAATGCAGTTGAGAAAATTAAGGCCCATGGATGGTGACCCTTAAGCTGTAATAACTTAGTAAAAATAGGAAAAGGGCCCTTGACAAATACACATGTTATTTATTGACTGATAAAGTATCCATTTTCTCCTTTAAACTGAAGTGTGTTGTTTATGTTGGTTTTCCTGCAAACAAGAAATGAAAAAATACATTTAAATTATAAATTAATTTTTTTTTGTTTCAGAGAAAGTAAAATATGTATGTTGTTTAAAATATGCTTAGCCATAATTTAGATAATTCTTTTATGCATTTTAGTAATTTTCATTTTTCCTTACATAAGCAAATGAAATATTCACCTTTGCACACTGGGCAAAATAAAAGCATAAGTATTTCTGATTTGTTTTACTAAACATAGATTGAGTAAACTAAGTTCTAAAAACTTTTTCTTTTTCCCAAATAGCTTTCAGAAAACACACTATGGGAGCATGAATAAATGCCTTACATTTTCATAGTCACATTAAAATTACTATATTAGTTAAACTTCCTCCATTTTACCCCGCTCCTTGACACCAAATGATATGACATATAATAATGTACACTTGTCTCTACCCTGTTTTGTGCTCAGAATTGGATTAATTTAGAGGATACTGAATGGACACAGTTTCTAATAAGAGGATGCTCCTCCATTGCATTGCCATCTATGACACAACAGGCATTATTTCAACCTGCTCCGTGTGTCTAGTGGAAACACAACCTGGTTTTTGGAGAAGGAGATGGAAATTGGAGAAAAAGAGGGAAAAGAAGGGAAGAACAAGAAGAGAAAGTGACTTCAGGAAATTTACCATGTGAAAGGGGGTCACTTCACATCTTTGGCAGATTACATGGAAATATGCTGGCCCTGTTAGAGCAGCCACTAGCTACACGGAAGCAGTTTTGCTCCAGTAACCAGAGTAGTGTGCAATTGGGGTACACTTCTCAAAACAGAATAAATGAGACTCCTTTTAACATATGATTAGAAGGTACTTTCCTTAGCAAGATGGAAAGAATTGTCATCTCAATGTTTAAGGCAATATATACTGGTGGCATAACTCATTTCATCTGTAACTTTTGAGCATCTGTCTAATGGGAAGTAATGCATTGAGTTTGTTACTTGGCACATGAACAGTCCTAATCATGCATGCTCTGCTGATTTAGTCTTCATTTCTCCCACTCATTTCTGAAATAGGGAGGCAAAGGACTAGACTGTAGTCTTACTACCTGACTTTCACTTCACAAACACCAGCTCCCCCCTCCCTACCTGCCTCTGTAAATTGATCTTACACTAATTTCTCTGTAGATCATGTAACTTGCCCTTCATATACACAGAGGCTTGCTGTTTGCTTCTTAATTTGTAATCAGGCTTCCTTGTTACTTTATTTTTCTTCCTGGATCCTATCTTGACTTAGTTCCTGTCTTGTGTAAACTCGATGGGGAAGCGTTGGTGAGATGTTAATTTGGGAAACATGGCTTGCAATCTGTGGCGCAACAAGAACAGCTGGTGCTGCTGCTGTTTAGTTTTTCTTGGCAGATGGACATAGTTTTCTACAGAAATGTTACATTTGCCAGCTCTCTCTCTCTCCTATACCACTCCAGCACCAAGGCTTAATACTTTATTGCATTCCCCTAAATACATGGCCCAGAGCCTCCTGTGCAGCCTTTATTCTAGGCTTCATACTCAGTAGCCCTCTGACTGGCCATTTGACCACAGTGAGAAGTAGATTTGGTTATACTTAGGCAGCTTAAAGTATACATTAAGTAAATACTGTTCCATATCCTCAATACTTTTATGTCAATACTTACATGTGTTTGCCTACTTATTTATTAAAAATAAGCTTTAGTGAGTTGTAACCTCTATATCATAAAATTGACCAATTTTAAGTGTACAAATTGATGAGGTTTGAATCACTGTGTAATTATGATATTAAACTATTTTCATCACTTCCAAAACTTCTTGCACCCCTTTGCAATAAATCCCCACTCGTTACTTCCAGCTTCCAGTAACCACTGTGCTTTCTGTCATTATAATTTGCTATTTTTTTAAGAATGTCATTTACTGTGTGGCTTCTTTCATTTAGCTTGATGATTTTGAATCTGTCCATGTTCTTGTGTATATCATTAATACGTTCCTTTTTATTGCTGAGTTTAACCATTCTCTGGTTGATGGACATGTAGGTTGTTCCAGTTTTTATCAATAATGAATAAAGCTGCCATAAACAGCCCTCAGGGACAAGTCTTTGTAGGGACATATGGTTTCTTTTTCTGGCAAATGACTAAGAGTGACATTAGTGGGTTTTATGATAAATGTTGGTTTAATTTGATAAGAAAGTGTTACCCTGTTTTTCAAGTTGATATACCATTTCACATTTTCTTGCAATGCATGTGAGTTCCAGTTGCTCTATATCTTCATTGGCACTTGTCAGTCTTTTCAAATTTTTACCATTCTAATGGGCGTGTAGTGGTATCTTGTATTATGCATTTTTTTATTGACTAATGATATTGAACATATTTTTGTCCACTTATTTACTATATATTTGAAATTTTTTATTTAAATATTTTATTTATGTTCTATTGAGTAATTTGTGTTATCATTAGAAGTTCTTTATATTTTCTGTATACCAGATATATGTTATGTATATATTTTTCCTAGTATGTGGCTTGCCTTTTATTTTCTTAACAGTGTCTTTGAAAGACACAAAAAGATTCATTTTGATATTTCATCAATATTTTAGTTTATGATTAGTGCTTTTTGTGTCCTACCTAACATATCTTTGCTAACCTAAGGTTACAAAAATTTTGTTCTGCTATCTTCTAGAAATTTTATAGTTTTAGGTTTTCATTTAGGTTTACGATCCATCTGCTTTTAGCTAATATTTTATATGGTGTGTGGTAAAATTTGGGGTTTATTATTTGCATTTGGATGTTAAAGTATTCCAGCACCATTTGGTGAACCCAGTCCCTGCTACCTCCAGATGCTCAGAAGTGGAAATCTTCTCCAAAGTATGGCTTTGCTTGAGAAAGCTATAGAAGAAACTGACAATCATTTCCAAAAGAATTTTTAAAAACTGCTTTAGTGGAGGGATCCTAGATATAGTTGGTGTGATATAGCTCTAATTTAATATGAGTATATTTACAAAAAAGATAATTTTGATATACTGAACACTCATGACTTCCCATTTACAATAATCACAAATGAAAGTCAAAGTCCTTAGTTATTGTAGATCTCTGAATTGTTAGTTTTAGAAAACATGGTCAACATACTTATTGGGTTTTTCGTATTGATTTCTCTTTAAATTTTTCAAATAAGCATATTGTGAATTTAGACATAGCTTCAAAAAATGCTAACTGCCTTTTTTTATTTATAGGGGCTTCTCCGAATACATTTTCATAAGTACTTATCAGACCAGGAACTCCCACTCATTCGAATAACAATGTAATCATTGGCTCTTCAGGCATAGAAATACTTTCAGTCTTTGTCCAGATGGAAGCAATTTTATTACGAGAATTACTTTGGTTGCTCAATTCATTTGATATGGAAAATAATGATAAGAGTATCTATATTTTCTGTAACCATGAAATGAGTCCATCATCTACTTTCATGTTATGCATTTGTATCTTGTCATTATTACAAATGTCTTTTCACTTTGTTTCAGTTGTAGATTATTTATATATTAAATTGATACATTAAGCATTCTGCTTTCTGTTGCACTTTCAAAATCTGACTTGTCACCATCTTAAAGTGGGCAAACTCTGTGCACACACCACAATAATAAGATGACCTATTCTTGAGCCCTGTAGATTGACCAGACAAGGGGTATAATAGCTGAATACACAAATTTAGTTCTGTTCCTTAAATAACTACAGGGTATCATGCACCTGGGGAGTTCATGTAAGTCTTTCTTGTGTTGTTGAGATACAATACACGCTAAATCTATTTTTAATTCTGCCTTATGCAGCCTCACAGTGAGACTTCACACATGCAAATGAGAGTTTGTGGGGGGAAAAGCCTCGTTAAAAAATCTGTTAGTTTAATTTAAGCAGCATTGTGATGTGAGAGCCAATTTTGCATTTTAATGCCAAATTGACCAAATCATTACTCTAATTTATGTCAAATTCTTCTTTGCATTAGGAGGTAAGATTTAAATGATTTTAAACATATACTGTACTTCGGCCAGGCGCAGTGGCTCACGCCTGTAATCCCAGCACTTTGGGAGGCCGAGACGGGTGGATCACGAGGTCAGGAGATCGAGACCATCCTGGCTAACACGGTGAAACCCCGTCTCTACTAAAAATACAAAAATTAGCCGGGCATGGTGGCGCGTGCCTGTAGTCCCAGCTACACGGGAGGCTGAGGCAGGAGAATGGCGTGAACCCGGGAGGCAGAGCTTGCAGTGAGTCGAGATCGCGCCACTGCACTCCAGCCTGGGCTACAGAGCAAAACAGCAAAACTCCGTCCCAAAAAAAAAAGAAAAAAAAAAAAAAAAAAAAACATATACTGTACTTCAAACAGTGCCTGGCACATCATAAGTGCTCAGTGAATGTTATTGTCATCTTCAGTGAAGGGAGGAAGAAAACCACACATTTATGTTTTAAGGTTGCCTAATAAAGAGAAGCTATATGATACCTGGAATAGTTTGGAGAGTGTGTAACACAAATTATTAGAGTACTCGTACTAGTTAGTTACTACCTAGAAAGGAAAAGATAGCCAAGAACACAAAACCAAAAATATTTTAGTGAATATATAATGTCTGATATTTGTACAATTTGTACTTAACAAAATGGTTCCACCTGATTCTGTAAATTTAAAAATTACTCATTAGATTACGCTAACAGATTTGTAAGAATGTGGATCTCTTATTAAATTGTCTTTTTTCTTTTATGCTTAGTAACAGACTAGTTGGTATAGTGTCTAGAACGATTTATTTTCTTTTTCCTCTTTTTACGGTATGAAACCTCTTTCCATTAGCAAACTCATTTCCTGTGGCTTGAGTGGGACTGCCTCCACCTACTCTCCTTAAATTGGGTGCATATAAGAAATGGTCAATGGCTGATGAGGATATCCTATTTCCTCTGACAACAGTTGCCTGTTCATTTGGCATATTAATTACACTTACTCAAAAATACGTGCAATTTGATCTTTTCTTGTACTTCATGAGGTATGCAGTGATCACTTGCTATTTCTAGAAAAGTAGAGTTTGCTGGCTTATGTCCTTCTGTGATGACTAAATAATAAGTGGACAGTGTCTCAAACCATAGGAAGAAAAGTTATTCTACTCAAAAAGTGACAAAATGATTGATGACTGTGTTTTTAAAGCACAGACAGGGTGAGGATTTCAGACACACCATTGAACCATTCTTCCCTGATATTACTTCCTAGTTATAGTGCTGTGTTCTATATACTCACCGCTCTATTCTATTCTTTACTGTTGGGAACTTAAACAATATCCCTCACAGTATCATTTTCCTGTTCCAGGTAGTTCTCAAATTGAAGGCTAGTCTTAAACTAGCACTTTTTTTGCTCTTAATGTCCCCACTCCATTTCTGATAAAACAATAAAACTGATTCTAAATTTTATCTGGTGGAGATTCTTATATGCCAAGTTAAGTTAAAGCATGTGTACGTGTGTGTGTGTATGTGTGTGCATGTGTGTGTGTGTGCAGGTACCCAGATGATGGTGAATGCCTGTGAAAAATGAAGTAGTAGAAGATCTAAGCTATGCCCAAGGGCAATAAGACTGGATGCAGCATAAAAATAAAATGAAAGGACTAAACACTGGAGACTGGTGACAAGAGGATTGTTTCAGAAAGGACAAAAGTGGGCCCGGGTGCAGTGGCTCATGCCTGTAATCCCAGCACTTTGGGAGGTCAAGGCTGGCAGATCACTAGGTCAAGAGATTGGGACCATCCTGACCAACATGGTGAAACCCCATCTCTACTAAAAATACAAACATTGGCTGGGCATGGTGGTGTGTGCCTGTAGTCCCAGCTACTTGGGAGGTTGAGGAAGGAGAATTGCTTGAACCTGGGAGGCGGAGGTTGCAGTGAGCCGAGATCACACCCTTGCACTCCAGCCTGACGACAGAGCAAGACTGTCTGGAAAAAAAAAAAAAAAAGGACAAAATTGAAAAACATTTTAAAATTTAGAGATGAAATGTCTAAAATGCTTAGTGGGACTGAGTCCAGATTTCCTAGATAGTGTAATGCAGTACCTTTTATATTTCCTATGTTGATTAATAAGTTATGATTATTACAAGCAGAAAAAATTGAATAATGACTTTGATTTCAGACTTCACAGAGTAGATTTTATGTACTTTTACTAGCTCTACTCATATTTTTGACAATTAAAATATATAAATATATCTTGAAGGTGGAAAACTTGATTTTGAATTAAAGAACTGATAAATTTGGTTACTGACAGAACATAGTAGGGTGATAGTGGTGCAGAAGGCATTTCTACCTGAAATTTCTAATAGGAATTGTTTCAAAGTTTGTGGAATGGTTGCAGAGAGCAATAGATTGAGAAAATAGATTTCTTGAATAAATAGATTTTAAATACATAGATTTTAAATGCATACATTTCATTTTCCTAAGTAAATTTCTTAAATAGACTTTCTATTTATTTAAAATATTTCTAGTGTGATGTATTAGTCCGTTTTCACACTGTTGTAAAGAATACTACCTGAGACTGGGTAATTTATAAGGAAAAGAGGTTTAATTGACTCACAGTTCTATACGGCTGGGGAGGCCTTAGGAAACTTACAATCATGGTAGAATGGTAAGCCAGCACATCTTACATGGTGGCAGGTGAGAGAAGAGTGAGGAGCAAAGGGGGAAGAGCCCCATATAAAAACCATCAGATCTCATGAGAACTCACTCACTATCATGAGAATAGGAAACTGCCCCCACAATCCAATCACCTCACACCAGGTCCTACCCTCCACACATGGGGATTATGGGGATTAAAATTAGGATGAGATTTCGGTGGGGACACATTAGTGATATTGGCTCTCTAGATCTTAGTTTCTTCTTTAAAATGAATGTGATGAACGAGAACACTCTAAGCCTTACGAAGTGTCAGTATTTTGTGCTTCTGTGTGACTGCTAAATATTATAGCTCCTCTTGCTATTTTTCTGGGCCCTATGTTTTTGTTGCATTGCTTAAATTCTTGTATTTTTATGTGAATTTGGAGGATGACAAACTGACACAAGACACTGTGCTTATACACATACCCACATATGTGCCCTTTTTTAGGGAGACTTTGGGATTCCACAGACCTTTAATAATTCAAAAAGAAGACTTTTTCTTTTTTCATTTTTCTGGGACTTTTGTAGTTAGATATGCCAACTTTCCTTTTTTTTTAATTATACTTAAAGTTTTAGGGTACATGTGCACAACGTGCAGGTTTGTTACATATGTGCACATGTGGCATGTTGGTGTGCTATACCAATTAACTCGTCATTTAACATTAGGTATATCTCCTAATGCTATCCTTCCGCCCTCCCACCACCCCACAACAGGCCCCAGTGGGTGATGTTCCCCTTCCTGTGTCCATGTGTTCTCATTGTTCAACTCCCACCTATGAGTAAGAACATGCGGTGTTTGGTTTTTTGTCCTTGTGATAGTTTGCTGAGAATGATGGTTTCCAGCTTCATCCATGTCCCTACAAAGGACATGAGCTCATCATTTTTTATGGCTACGTAGTATTCCATGGTGTATATGTGCCACATTTTCTTAATCCAGTCTATCATTGTTGGACATTTGGGTTGGTTCCAAGTCTTTGCTATTGTGAATAGTGCCACAATAAACATATATGTGCATGTGTCTTTATAGCAGCGTGTTTTATAATCCTTTGGGTATATACCCAGTAATGGGATGGCTGGGTCAAATGGTATTTCTAGGTCTAGATCCCTGAGGAATTGCCACACTGACTTCCACAATGGTTGAACTAGTTTACAGTCCCACCAGCAGTGTAAAAGAGTTCCTATTTCTCCACATCCTCTCCAGCACCTGTTGTTTCCTGACTTTTTAATGATTGCCATTCTAACTGGTGTGAGATGGTATCTCATTGTGGTTTGGATTTGCATTTCTCTGATGGCCAGTGATGATGAGCGTTATTTCACGTGTCTTTTGGCTGCATAAATGTCTTCTCTTGAGAAGTGTCTGTTCATATCCTTCACTCACTTTTTGATGGGATTTTATTTTTCCTGTAAATTTGTTTGAGTTCATTGTAGATTCTGGATATTAGCCCTTTGTCAGATGAGCCGATTGCAAAAATTTTCTCCCAATCTGTAGGTTGCCTGTTCACTCTGATGGTAGTTTATTTTGCTGTGCAGAAGCTCTTTAGTTTAATTAGATCCCATTTGTCAATTCTGGTTTTCATTGCCATTGCTTTTGGTGTTTTAGACATGAAGTCCTTGCCCATGCCTATGTCCTGAATGGTATTGCCCAGGTTTTCTTCTAGGTTTTTATGGTTTTAGGTCTAACATATAAGTCTTTAATCCATCTTGAATTAATTTTTGTATAAGGTGTAAGGAAGGGATCTAGTTTCAGCTTTCTACATATGGCTAGCCAGTTTTCCCAGCACCATTTATTAAATAGGGAATCCTTTCTCCATTTCTTGTTTTTGTCAGGTTTGTCAAAGATCAGATGGTTGTAGATGTGTGGTGTTATTTCTGAGGGCTCTGTTCTGTTCCATTGGTCTATATCTCTGTTTTGGTACCAGTACCATGCTGTTTTGGTTACTTTAGCCTTGTAGTATAGTTTGAAGTCAGGTAGCGAGATGCCTCCAGTTTTTTGCTTTTGGCTTAGGATTGACTTGGCAGTGCAGGCTCTTTTTTGGTTCCATATGAACTTTAAAGTAGTTTTTTCCAATTCTATGAAGAAAGTCATTGGTAACTGGATGGGGATGGCATTGAATCTATTGAACCTTGGGCAGTATGGCCATTTTCACGATATTGATTCTTCCTACCCACGAGCATGGAATGTTCTTCCATTTGTTTGTATCCTCTTTTATTTCATTGAGCAGTGGCTTGTAGTTCTTGAATAGGTCCTTCACATCCCTTGTAAGTTGGATTCCTAGGTATTTTATTCTCTTTGAAGCAATTGTGAATGGGAGTTCACTCATGATTTGGCTCTCTGTTTGTCTGTTATTGGTGTATAAGAATGCTTGTGATTTTTGCACACTGATTTTGTATCCTGAGACTTTGCTGAAGTTGCTTATCAGTTTAAGGAGATTTTGGGCTGAGACGATGGGGTTTTCTAAATATACAATCATGTCATCTGCAAACAGGGACAATTTGACTTCCTCTTTTCCTAATTGAATACCCTTTCTTTCTTTCTCCTGCCTGATTGCCCTGGACAGAACTTCCAACAGTATGTTGAATACGAGTGGTGAGAGAGGGCATCCCTGTCTTGTGCCAGTTTTCAAAGGGAATGCTTCCAGTTTTTGCCCATTCAGTATGATATTGGCTGTGGGTTTGTCATCAAAAGCTCTTATCATTTTGAGATATTTCCCATGAATACCTAATTTATTGGGAGTTTTTAGCATGAAGAGTTGTTGAATTTTGTCAAAGGCGTTTTCTGCATCTCTTGAGATAATCATGTGGTTTTTGTCATTGGTTCTGTTTATATGCTGGATTATGTTTATTGATTTGTGTATGTTGAACCAGCCTTGCATCCCAGGGATGAAGCCCACTTGATCATGGTGGATAAGCTTTTTGATGTGCTGCTGGATTCGGTTTGCTGGTATTTTACTGAGGATTTTTGCATTGATGTTCTTCAGGGATATTGGTGTAAAATTCTCGTTTTTTGTTGTGTCTCTGCAAGGCTTTGATATCAGGATGTTGCTGGCCTCATAAAATGAGTTAGGGAGGATTCCCTCTTTTTTATTGATTGAAATAGTTTCAGAAGGAATGGTACCAGCTCCTTCTTGTACCTCTGCTAGAATTCGGCTGTGAATCCATCTGGTCCTGGACTCTTTTTGGTTGGTAAGCTATTAATTATTGCTTCAATTTCAGAGCCTGTTATTGGTCTATTCAGAGATTCAGCTTCCTGGTTTAGTCTTGGGAGAGTGTGTGTGTTGAGGAATTCGTCCATTTCTTCCAGATTTTCTAGTTTATTTGCATAGAGGTGTCTATAGTATTCTGTGATGGTAGTTTGTATTTCTGTGGGATCATTGGTGATATCCCCTTTATCATTTTTTATTTCATCTATTTGATTCTTCTCTCTTTTCTTCTTTATTAGTCTTGCTAGTGGTCTATCTATTTTGTTGATCTTTTAAAAAAAACCAGCTCCTGGATTCACTGATTTTTTGAAGGGTTTTTTATGTCTCTATTTCCTTCAGTTCTGCTTTAATCTTAGTACTTTCTTGCCTTCTGCTAGCTTTTGAATGTGTTTGCTCTTGCTTCTCTAGTTCTTTTAATTGTGATGTTAGGGTGTCAATTTTAGATCTTTTCTGCTTTCTCTTGTGGGCATTTAGTGCTATAAATTTCCCTCTACATACTCCTTTGAATGTGTCCTAGAGATTCTGGTATGTTGTGTCTTTGTTCTCATTGATTTCAAAGAACATCTTTATTTCTGCCTTCATTTTGTTATGTACCCAGTAGTCATTCAGGAGCAGGTTGTTCAGTTTCCATGTAGTTTAGTGGTTTTGAGTGAGTTTCTCAATCCTGAGTTCTAGTTTGATTGCACTGTGGTCTGAGAGACTGTTTGTTATAATATCTGTTGTTTTACATTTGCTGAGGAGTGCTTTACTTCCAACCATGTGGTCAGTTTTGGAATAGGTGTGGTGTGATGCTGAAAATAATGTATATTCTGTTGATTTGGGGTGGAAAGCTCTGTAGATGTCTATTAGGTCTGCTTGGTGCACAGCTGAGTTCAGTTCCTGGATATCCTTGTTAACTTTCTGCCTCGTGGATCTGCCTAATGTTGACAGTAGGGTGTTAAAGTCTCCCATTATTATTGTGTGGGAGCCTAAGTCTCTTTCTATGTCTGTAAGGACTTGCTTTATGAATCTGGGGGCTCTTGTATTGGGTGCATATATATTTAGGATAGTTAACTCTTCTTGTTGAATTGATCCCTTTACCATTATGTAATGGCCTTCTTTGTCTCTTTTGATCTTTGTTGGTTTAAAGTCTGTTTTATCAGAGACTAGGATTGCCACCCCTGCCTTTTTTTGTTTTCCATTTGCATGGTAGTTCTTCCGCTATCCCATTATTTTGAGCCTATGTGTGACTCTGCACGTGAGATGGGTCTCCTGAATACAGCACACTAATGGGTCTTGACTGTTTATCCAATTTGCCAGTCTGTGTCTTTTAGTTGGAGCATTTAGCCCATTTACATTTAAGGTTAATATTGTTATGTGTGAATTTGATCCTGTCATTATGATGTTAGCTGGTTATTTTCCTCATTAGTTGATGCAGTTTCTTCCTAGCCTCAATGGTCTTTACAATTTGGCATGTTTTTGCAGTGGCTAGTACTGGTCATTCCTTTCAATGTTTAGTGCTTCCTTCAGGAGCTCTTTTAAGGCAGGCTTGGTGTTGACAAAATCTCTCAGCATTGGCTTGTCTGTAAAGTATTTTATTTCTCCTTCAGTTCTGAAGCTTAGTTTGGCTGGATATGAAATTCTGGGTTGAAAATTCTTTTCCTTAAGAATGTTGAATATTGGCCCTCAGTCTCTTCTGGCTTTTAGAGTTTCTGCCAAGAAATCAGCTTTTAGTCTGATGGGCTTTCCTTTGTGGGTAACCCAACCTTTCTCTCTGGCTTCCCTTAACACTTTTTCCTTCATTTCAACTTTGGTGAATCTGACAATTATGTGTCTTGGAGTTGCTCTTCTGGAGGCGTATCTTTGTGGCATTCTCTGTATTTCCTGAATTTGAATGTTGGCCTGCCTTGCTAGGTTGGGGAAGTTCTCTTGGATAATATCCTGTAGAGTGTTGTCCAACTTGGTTCCATTCTCTCCGTCACTTTCAGGTACACCGATCAGACATAGATTTGGTCTTTTCACATAGTCCCATATTTCCTGGAGGCTCTGTTCATTTCTTTTTATTCTTTTTTCTCTAAACTTCTCTTCTCGCTTCATTTCATTCATTTCATCTTCGATCACCGATACCCTTTCTTCCAGTTGACCGAATCAGCTACTGAGGCTTATGCATTCATCACGTAGTTCTCGTGCCATGGTTTACTGCTCCATCAGGTCCTTTAAGACTTCTCTACATTGGTTATTCTAGTTAACCATTTCTCTAATCTTTTTTCAAGGTTTTTAACTTCTTTGCCATGGGTTCATACTTCTTCCTTTAGCTCAGAGTAGTTTGATCATCTGAAGCCTTCTTCTCTCAACTCATCAAAGTCATTCTCCATCCAGCTTTGTTCCATTGCAGGTGAGGAGCTGTGTTCCTTTGGAGGAGGAGAGGTGCTGTGATTTTTAGAGTTTCCAGTTTTTCTGCTCTTTTTTTCCCCCATCTTTGTGGTTTTATCTACCTTTGGTCTTTGATGATGGTGATGAACATATGGGATTTTGGTGTGGATGTCCTTTTTGTTTGTTAGTTTTGCTTCTAACAGTCAGGACCCTCAGCTGCAAGTCTGTTGGAGTTTTCTGGAGGTCTACTCCAGAGCTTGTTTGCCTGGGTATCAGCAGCAGAGGCTGCAGAAGAGCAGATATTTGTGAACAGCAAATGTTGCTGCCTGATTGTTCCTCTGGAAGTTTCATTTCAGAGGAGTACCCAGCCCTGTGAGGTGTCAGTCTGCCCCTACTGGGGGGTGCCATCCAGTTAGGCTACTTGGGGGTCAGGGACCCACTTGAGGAGGCAGTCTGTCTGTTCTCAGATCTCTAGCTGCATGCTGGGAGAACCACTACTTTCTTCAAAGCTGTCAGACAGGGACATTTAAGTCTGCAGAGGTTTCTGCTGCCTTTTGTTTGGCTATGCCCTGCCCCCAGAGGTGGACTCTCCAAAGGCAGTCAGGCCTTCTTGAGCTGCAGTGGGCTCCACCCAGTTCGAGCTTCCTGGCTGCTTTGTTTACTTACTCAAGCCTCGGCAATGGCAGGCACCTCTCCCCCACCCTCGCTGCTGCCTTGCAGTTTGATCTCACACTGCTGTGCTAGTAATGAGTGAGTCTCTGTGGGTGTAGGACCCTCCGAGCCATGCGTGGGATATAATCTCCTGGTGTGCCATTTGCTAAGACTGTTGGAAGAGTGCAGTATTAGGGTGGGAGTGACCCGATTTTTCAGGTGCCATCTGTCACCCCTTTCTTTGATTGGGAAAGGGAATTGCCTGATCCTTTGTGCTTCCCGGGTGAAGTGATGCCTCGCCCTGCTTCAGCTCATGCTCAGTGCTCTGCATCCACTGTCCTGCACCCACTGTCCAACACTCCCCAGTGAGATACACCCGGTACCTCATTTGGAAATGCAGAAATCACCCATCTTCTGCATTACTCACTCTGGGAGCTGTATACTGGAGTTGTTCCTATTTGGCCATCTTGGCTCCACTCCTCCATATATGCCAACTTTCATATCAAATGACAAGTGGAAGACCTGACAGTTTGTGGAACATCAGGCCATTAACAATTTCCTTGAAATCTTTATAAGCTTTGCATTATTAGACATCTTATTCTGGCTGATCTTTAGTCATTTTACCTTTGTGTCATTTGTTGCTCCATCAGTTAGGGTGATGTGTTTATATTATTAGTATACATTTTTTAATTTTGAAAAATTTACAAAAACCATGGAAAATTACAAAGGCTAGTATGATATTGGCTTTCCAAAATTAATCACTGTTAACATTCTGCCATAGTGGTCTCATATTTCTTTTTTATTTTTCAAGGGAATTGAGCCTTAAATAAAGATGAAGTCTCTTAAATTTATATTTGAATGCTGTTCTTTCTGTCTTTTTCCAGGGACAACCACTCTAATACATTTACATATAGAGAAACTGTAGGATTAAAATATAGTCCCACAAGCCTCACAGGTAATCCATTGCAGTGCCAATTGCAGAGCATGAGCCTCTAGATCCTGGGGGTGCAAGTTCCAGAGCATAAATCTTTAGATTCTTGATAGGACCACTGGTCTAATTATTGGTTGAATTAAAAATGAAGTCATAGTAATACATATCATAGTTCTATAGTCTTTATATTTAAAAAAACTAAATAACACTTTTGTTTTTAGTTTAAATGTGGAAAGTGTAAAAAGTCTTATCCTAATAACCCAAACAATCTATGTAACCTACAAAATCTAGTTTTATAAACCCATCAGAGATCTCAAACTGAAAAGAATTATGCTCTTTCAGTGATGAGTATTTAATAAGAGGAAACTACACAGCTGCTTTTACCTCTAGTGAAATGGTGCAAGAAAGAAGAATCTGCTATAGAAGAAAATGGAATTATTAGAAATGTAAATAATAATATAGAAATTAATAATTTATTTTATAGGGTTAATGGCAATTGGACAGAAGAACGGATAAATGTACCTAAAGATATGTCAATAGGAAATATTCGCATTTCAACAAAAAGAAAAATAAGAGTGAAACAAAAGAGATTTGTGTTACAATTCCTAACTTATTTATAAGTAGAATCCCAGAGAGAGAGGGGAGGGAAAATAATGAAGAAAAGATATTTGAAGAGATAAAAACCAAGAGCTTTTCAGACTTGATGAAATATATCAACCCACACTAGCAGGAATCATAATGACTTCCAAACAGAATAAGTACAAAGGAAACCACACCTAATTATATCATAGCAAAATGGCCAAAAATCAAAATTAAAAAGAGTATATAAAAGCAACCAGAAAAGTGAGACATTAAATAGAAGAGAATAAATACACAAATTATGGCTTACTTTTTTCCAGAACACTGGAAGCCAGAAGACTAGAGAACATTATTAATTTGCTGAGAAGAAAACAAGCAAACTACTCAAAAAGCACACAAAAACAAAACATTTAGCAGCCACTTTCAACCTAGAATTTAATAATCAGTAACATAAACTGTAAAAAAAGAAGGTGAAATGAAAATATAATATTATTTACTTTTCTTGGGCTTCTTTTTTATTTATTTTAAAATTAAATAAATTATGAGTACTTAATAGGTGTTTATGTTTACGGAGTACATGAGATATTTTGATACAGGCATACAATATGTAATAATCATATCACCGTAAATGGGGTATTCATCACCTCAAGCATTCATCATTTCTTTGTGCTACGAATATTTCAATTGTATTCCCTCAGTTATTATAAAATGTACAACAAATTATTGCTGATTGCTGTAATCCTAGCACTATGGGAGGCCGAGGCAGGTGGGTCACCTGAGGTCAGGAGTTTGAGACCAGCCTGGTCAACATGGCAAAACCCCATTTCTACTACAAATACAAAAAAATTAGCCAGCTATGGTGGTGAGCACCTATATTCCCAGCTACTCGGGAAGCTGAGGCAGGAGAATCACTTGAACCCGGGAGGTGGAGATAGCAGTGAGCCAATATCATGCGACTTCACTCCAGCCTCGGTGAAAGAATGAAACTCTGGCTCAAAAATAAAAATAAAAATGAAAATAATTGCTAAATGTAGTCACTCTATCGTACTATCACATATTAGATCTTACTCATAGTATCTAACTATATTTTTGTACCTATTAACCTTCCCCATTTCCAGACTTCCCCCTGCACTATTCTTCTCAGCCTCTGGTTACCATCATTCTACTCTCTATCTGAGTTCAATTGTTTTAATTTTTAGCTCCCACAACTTAGTGAGAACATGCAAAGCTTAGCTTTCTGTTACTGGCTTTTTTTACTTAATACAATATCCTCCAGTTACATTCATGTTGTTCCAAATGACAGGATCTCATTCTTCTTATGGCTAATACTCCATTGTGTATAATTACCACTTTTTCTTTATCCATTTGTCAGTTGATGGATACTTAGGTTGATTCCAAATCCTGGCTATTGTGAATAGAGCTACAATAAACACAGATGTACAGATACCTCTGTGTACAGATACCTCTTCCATATACTGTTTTCTTTTCTTTGAAGTATAGATCCAGTAGTTGTATTGCTGAATTACATGGGATTTCTATTTTTAGTGTTTTGAGGAACTTCCATAATGTTCTCCATAGTGTCTTTACTAATTCACATTCCCACCAACAGTGTACGAGGGTTCCCCTTTCTCCAGGTTCTCACCAGCATTTGTTATTGCCTATGTTTTGGATAAAAGCCACTTTAACTGGGGTGAGATAATATCTTGTTGTAGTTTTGATTTGTACTTCTTGGATGATCAATGATGTTGAGCACCTTTCATACACCTGCTTCTTATTTGTATGTCTTCTTTTGAGAAATGTCTATTCAGATCTTTTGTCCATTTTTAAATCAGATTATTAGATTTTTTCCTATACAGTTGTTTGAACTTCTTATATATTTTTGTCATAAACCTTTTGTCAGATGGATGGTTTGCATATTTTCTCCCAGTCTATGGATTGTCTCTTTACTTTGTTGATTTTTCCTTTGCTGTGCAGAAGCTTTTTAACTTGATGTGATCCTATTTTTCCACTTTTGCTTTTTCTACTTTATGCAAGTGATTGTGAGGTATTCCTCAAGAAACCACTGCCGAGACAAATGTCCTGCAGAGTTTCCTCAATGTTTTCTTTCAGTAGTTTCATAGTTTGAGGTTTTAAAGTCTTTAATACATTTTGATTTGATTTTTGTATATGGCAAGAGATAGGTGTCTAATTTCATTCTTCTGTACATGAGTATCAAGTTTCCCAGAACCATTTATTGAAGAGACTGTCCTTTTTCCAATGTATGTTCTTGGCATCTTTGGTGAAAATGAGTTAACTGTAGATGTATGAACTTATTTTGGTGTTCTCTATTCTGTTCCATTGGTCTATGTTGGTGTCTGTTTTTATGCCAGTAACATGCTGTTTTGATTACTATACTTCTGTAGTATAATTTAAAGTCAAGTGATATAATTCCTCCAGTTTGTTCTTTTTGCTTAGAATAGTTTTAGCTAACCTTGGTCTTTTGTGGTGCCATACACATTTGCCTATCTCTGTTTTTTTTCTTTGTTTAATACTTCAAGTTGAAGAAACCATACACATTTGAGAGTTTTTTTTTCTATTTATTTGAAGAATGGCATTAGTATTTTGATAGGGATTGCAGTGAATTTGCAGATAGCTCTGGGTAGTATGGACATTTTGACAATATTAATTCTTTCAATTTATAAACATGTGTAGTAGTCTGTTCTCACACTGTTGTAAACAAATACCTGAAACTGATTAATTTATAAAGAAAAGAGGTTCAAATAATGTATTATTCTGCAGGCTGTACGGGCTTCTGCTTCTGGGGAGGCCTAGGAAACTTACAATCATGGTGGAAGGTAAAGGGGAAGAAAGCACATCTTACATGCAGGGAACAGAAGGAAGAGAGAGAGAAAGGAGGTGTTACACAAGTTTAAAGAAGCAGATCTTGGGAGAACTCTATCAAAAGACAGCACTAGGCGGATGGTGCTAAACCATTAGAAACCACCTCAATGACCCAGTCACCTCCCACAAGGCCCCACCTCCAACATTAGGTATTATAATTTGACATGTGATTTGGGCAGGGACAGAGTCAAACCATATCATTCTTCCCTGGCCCCTCCCAAATTTCACGTCCTTCTCACGTTGCAAACTACAACCATCTCTTCTCAACAGTCCTCAGAGTTTTAGCTCATTTCAGCATTAGCTGAAAAGTTCAGTCCAAAGCATCATCTGAGACAAGGCAAGTCCCTTCGCCTAGGAGCCTGTAAAATAAAAAACTAGTTAATTCCAACACATAATAGGGATATATAGTCCCATTCCACAAATTTATCCTAGTTATCCACAAATGGGTAAATAGTGCCATTGAAAAAGGGAGAAATCAGCCAAAACCAAGGGGCTACAGGCCCAGTGAAAGTGCAAAATCCAGCAGGGCAGTCTTTAAATCTCAAAGCTTCAAAATAATCTCCTTTGACTACATGTCTCATATTCAGGCCACACTTATGCAAAGGCTAGGTTACTAACACTTCAGCCAGCTCTGCCTCTGTAGCTCTGCAGGATACAGCTCCCATGGCTGCTTTCATGGGGTGATGTTTAGTAAATGTAGCTTTTCCAAGTGCATGGTGTAAGCTGCTTGTGGATCTACCATTCTGGGGTCTGGAGGATGGTGACCCTCTTCTCACAGCTCCACTAGGCAGTGGTCCAGTAGGAGATTTTCTTTTCTACCACATTGCCAGGTGGCAAATTTTCCAAACTTTGATGCTCTGCTTCCCTTTTAAATATAAGTTCCAGTTTTAGATACTCTCTTTGCTTATGCAAATGATTATAGGCTTTTAGAAGCAGCCAGACCATGCCTTCAATGCTTTGCTGCTTAGAAATTTCTTCTGCCATATATCCTACATCATCTCTCTCAAGTTGAAAGTGTCACAGATCTCTAGAGCAGGGTCACAATGCCACCAGTCTCTTTGCTAAAGCATAGCAAGAGTGACCTTTATTAGTTCCCAATAAGTTTCTCATTTCTATTTGAGACCACCTCAGCTTGAACTTCACCATCTATATTACTATCAACATTATGGTCACAACCATTCAACAAGTCTCTGGGAAGTTTCAAATTTTCCTTCATCTTCCTGTTTTCTTCTGAGTCCTCAAAACTGTTCCAACCTCTGTCCATTACCTGGTTCCAAAGTCACTTCCACATTATCAGGTTTCTTTATGGCAATGCCCCAATTTTCTGTATTAGTCTGTTCATCCACAGCCATAAAGAAATACCTGAAACTGGGTAATTTATAAGTTAAAGAGGTTTAAGTAGCTCATTGTTCTGCAGGCTGTACAGACTTCTACTTCTGGAAAGGTGTATTAGTCCATTTTCATGCTGCTGATAAAGACATACCTGAGACCACGAAGAAAAATAGGTTTAATGTACTCATAGGTCCTCATAGCTGGAGAGACCTCACAACCATGGTGGAAGGTGAAAGGCATTTCTGCATGGTGGTGGCAAGAGAGAATGAGAAAGAAGCAAAAGCAGAAACCCCTTATAAAACCATCAGATCTTGTGAGACTTATTTACTACCACTAGAACAGTATGAGGGAAACAGCCCCCATATTCAATTATTTCCCAATGGGTCCCTCCCACAATACATGGGAATTATGGGAGTACAATTAAAGATGAAATTTGGCTGGGGATAGAGAGCAAAACCATATAATTCCACCCTGGCCCCTCCCAAATCTCATGTCCTCACATTTCAAAACCAATCTTGCCTTCCCAACAATCCCCCAAACTCTTAACTCATTTCAGCATTAACTTGAAAGCCCACAGTACAAAGTCTTATCTGAGACAAGGCAAGTCCCTTCTGCCTATGAGCCTGTAAAATCAAAAGCAAGTTAGTTACTTCCTAGATACAATGGGGGTACAGGCATTGAGTAAATACAGCCATTCCAAATGGGAGAAATTGGCCAAAACAAAGGGGCTGCAGGTCCCATGCAAGTCCAAAATCCAGTGGGGCAGTCAAATCTTAAAGTTCCAAAATGATTTCTTTTGACTCCATGTCTCACATCCAGGACACACTGATGCAGGAGGTGGGTTCCCATGGTCTTACAAAGTTCTGCCCTTGTGGCTTTGCAGGGCACAGCCTGCCTCCAAGCTGCTTTCATGGGCTGGTGTTGTGTGTCTGTGGCTTTTCCAGTTGCATGGTGCAAGCTGTCAGTTGATCTATCATTCTTGGGTCTGGAGGACTGTGGCTCTCTTCCCACAGCTCCACTAGGTAATGCCCCAGTAAGGACTCTGTGTGGGACCTTCAACCCCACAGTTCCCTTCTGCAGTGCCCTAGCAGAGGTTCTCCATGAGGGCTCGGCTCCTGCAGCCAACTTTTGCCTGGACATCCAGGGATTTCCATACATTCTCTGAAATGTAGGTAGAAGTTCCCAAACCTCAATTCTTGACTTCTGTGCACCTGCAGGCTTAACACCACATGGAAGCCACCAAGGCTTGGGGCTTGCACTCTCTGAAGCCATGGCCTGAGCTGAACCTTGGCTCCCTTTAGCCATGGCTAGAGTGGCTGGGATGCAGACCACCAAGTCCCCCCAGCAGGGGGCCCTGGGTCCTGCCCATGAAACCATTTTTGTCCTCCTAAGCCTCTGGGCCTGTGATAGGAGGGGTTGCTTTGAAGACCTCTGACATGCCCTGGAGACATTTTCCCCATTTCTTGGGGGTCAACATTCGACTCCTTGCTATGTATGCAAATTTCTGCAGCTGGTTTAAATTTCTCCTCAGAAAATGGGTTTTTCTTTTCTATCACATTGTCAGGCTGCAAATTTTCCAAACTTTTTCACTCTGCTTCCCTTGTAAAACTGAATGCTTTTAACAGCACCCAAGTAACATCTTGAATGCTTTGCTGCTTAGAAATTTCTTTCAACAGATACCTTAAATCATCTCTCTCAAGTTCAAAGTTCCACAAATCCCTAGGGCAGGGACAAAATGCCACCAGTCTCTTTGCTGAGACATAACAAGAATCAGAATCACCTTTGCTCCACTTCCCAACAAGTTCCCCAAGTCTGTCTGAGACCACCTCACCCTATACTTTATTGCCCATATCACTATCAGCATTTTGGACAAAGCTATTCAAAAAGTCTCTAGGAGGTTTCAACCTTTTCCACATTTGCCTGTCTTCTTCTGAGCCCTCCAAACTGTTCCAACCTGTGCCTATTACCCAATTTCAAAGTTGCTTCCACATTATTGGGTATTTTTTCAGCAGCACCCCATTCTACTGGTACAAATTTACTGTATTAGTCTGTTTTCAAATTGATGATAAAGACATACCCAAGACTGGGGAGAAAAATAGGTTTAATGGACTCACAGTTCCACGTGCCTGGGGAGGTCTCATGATCATGGTAGAAGGTGAAAGCCACTTCTTAGGTGGTGGTGGCAAAGAATGAGAAAGAAGCAAATGCAGAAGCCCCTGATAAAACCATCAGATCTTGTGAGACTTAGTCACAAACATGAGAACAGTGTGGGGAACCCACCCCTATAATTCAATTATCTCATATCGGATCCCTCCCACAACACATGGGAATTATCAAAGTACAATTCAAGATGAGATTTGGGTGGGGACACAGAGCCAAACAATATCAGGAGGCTTCAGGAAATTTACAATTATGGCAAAAGGTGAAGGGGAAGCAAGCACGTCTTTCATGGCATTAGGAGGAAAAAGAGGGGGAGAAATGATACACGTTTAAACAAGCATGTCTTGGGAGAAATCTATCAGAAGACAGCACTAGGGGGATGGTGCTAAACCATAAGAACAACCTCAGTTATTGAATCACCTCCCACAAGGCCCTACTTCCAACATTAGATATTACAATTTAACATGAGATTTGGGTGGGGACACAGAGCCAAATTATACCAACATAAAATATCTTTCCATTGTTTTATGTATTCTGCAATTTCTCTTGTCAATGTTTTATAGTTTTTATTATAGAGATGTTTCATTGTTTTGGTTGTTTATTCCAATGTGTTTTATTTCATCCATAGTTATTATAAATCAAATTACTGTCTTAATTTCTTTTTCAGAAATTAAGACACTTTTGGCATATAGAAATGCTGCTAATTTTTATGTTGATTTTGTATCCTGCAACTTTACTGAATTTGTTTATCAGTTCTAAAAGTTTTTTGGTGAAGTCTTTAGGTTTTTCCAAATGTAAGATTATACTATTGACAAACAGAGATAATTTGACTTCTTCCTTTCCACCTCGGAGGCCTTTTATTTCTTCATCTTGTCTAATTGCTATAACTAGGACTTCTAGGGCTATGCTGAACAACAGTGGTGAAAGTGGGCATCCTTATTCTACAACTTCAAGAAAAGGCTTTCAGTATTTTTCCTGTTTAGTATGATACTAACTATGGGTCTATTGTACATGGTTTTATTATATTGAGATATGTTCATTCTATACCCAGATTTTTGAGTTTTTTTATCATTAATAGATGTTGAATTTTATAAAATGATTTCTCTGCATCCAATGGAATGATCATATGGTTTTTGTCCTTCAATCTTTTCATGTGATGTATCACATTGTTTGATTTATATATGTTGAACTACCCTTGTGTCCCTGGGATAAATCCCACTTGGTCATGGTGAACGATCTTTTTAATGTGTTGTTAAATTCAATTTGCTAATATTTTATCGAGGATTTTTCCATTAAGGTTCATCAGAGATATTGCCTCTAGTTTTCTTTTATTTTTCCTTTCTCCTTCCTTCCTTCCTCTCTCTCTTTCTTTCTCTTTCTTTCTTTTCTTTTCCTTTCCTTTTTCTTTTTCTTTTCCTTTTCTCTTCTCTTCTTTCTCTCTCTCTCTCTCTCTCTCTCTCTCTCTCTCTCTCTCTCTCCTTATGGGTCCTTATCTGGTTTTGGTGTCAGGGAAATACTGGCCTTGTAGACTGAGTTTGGAAGTATTCCCTCTTCTATTTTTTTTTGGAATAATTTGAGTAGAATTGGTATTAGTTATTTGAATGTTTGGTAAAACTCAGCAATTATACCATCAGGCTTTCCTTGCTGGGACACTTTTTATTATGGCTTAAATGTCATTATTTGTTATTGGTCTATTCATGTGTTGGATTTGTTTATGGTTCAGTCTTGGTGGGTTAAATATATAAAGGAATTTTATCATTACTTGTAGGTTTTCCAATGTATTGAAATGTGATTGTTTATAATAATCTCTAATGATTCTTGAATTTCTGTGCTATCAGTTGTAATGTATTCCTTTTCATCTCTGACTTTATTTATTTGGGTATTCTTTCTTTTTTTCTTAGTTTGGTGAAGGTTTTCTCAATTTTGTTTATCTTCTCAAAAAATCCATTTTTTTTGTTGTGTTGATCTTTTCTATTTTTCGTTTCATCTACTAATTTTGAGTTTGGTTTGCTCTTGCTTTTCTTATTAAGATAAATTGTGAGGTTTTTTATTTGAAGTTTTTCTATTATTTCTTAGTAATGTTTTTGCTGTATCCCATAGGTTATGGTATGTTGTGTTTCCATTATTTTTTGTTTCAATAAATTTAAAAATTTTGTTTTTTATTTCTTCATTGATCCACTGGTAATTCAGGAGCAAATTGTTTAGTTTCCCTGTGTTTAGATAGTTTCCAAAGTTCCCCTTGTTATTGATTTTTAGCTTTATTCCACTGTGGTCAGAGAAGGTACTTGATATGTGTTCAATATTTTTTGAAATTTAAGGACTTGTTTTGTGGAGTAATATACCATCTATCCCTTAGAATGACTCATGTACTGAAAAGAAGAATGTGTATTCTTCAGCTATTGGATGAAACGTTCTGTAAATATCTATTAGGATCATTTTGTCAGTAGAAGAGTTTAGGTCTGATGTTTCTTTGTTGATTTTGTCTGGATGATCTGTCCATTGCTTAAAGTGGGGTATTGAAGTTTCCAGCTGTTGTTGTATTGGGGTCTATCTCTCTCTTTTGCTTTAATAATATTTGCTTTATATATCTGAATGATCCATTGTTGGGTCCATGTATATTTATAATTGTTACATCCTCTTGCTAAAATGATCCCGTTAGCATTATATAATGACCTTCTTTGTCTCTTCCTATATATTTTTTGTCATGATATCTATTTATATAAGTATAGCTACTTCTGCTCTTTTTTGGTTTCTACTTACATGAAATATCTTTTTTCCATCCCTTTATTTTCAGTATTTGTCTTCATAAGTGAAATGTGTTTCTTATAGACAACAGATCATTTTTTTAAAAAATCCATTTGGTCTCTGTTTGTCTTTTAATTGTAGTGTTTGATCTATTTACATTTAATATTATTATTGAAAAGTAAGGACTAACTCGTGCCATTTTGCTGTTGTTTTCTGGTCTCCTCTTTCTTCTTTCTCCCTTTCTATCTTCCTTTTTGTGCAAGTGATTTTCTCTGGTGGAATGTTTTAATTTCTTACTTTATATATTTTTGTGTATCAGTTGTAAGTTTTCTGATTTAAGATTACCATGAAACTTGCATATAACATCTTATAACCCATTATTTTAAGCTGATGACAACTTAATTCTGATTGCACAAACAAACAAGCAAAGAGAAAACTAATAAAATTCTACACTTTAACTTCACCCCTCATGCTCTTTAACTTTTTGTTTGTAGTCATATCTTTCATGTCTTATTATTCTTTCCATTTTTTAAATTTGTAGCTATTATATTTGACAGGTTTCTTTTATTCTTTCCACTGAAGATATGCATAGTTTATACACCACAATTACAATGATATAATATTCTGTATTTGTCTGTGTACTTACTGTTACTAGTAAGTTTTTTCCTCAGATGATTTCTTATTGCGCATTAACATCCTTTTCTTCCAGATTGAAGAACTCGTTTGAGCATTTCTTGTAGGATAGGTCTGGTGTTGATGAAATTCCTTAGCTTTTGTTTGGGAAAGTTTTTTTTTTTTTTTTTTTTTTTTTTGAGACGGAGTCTCGCTCTGTCGCCCAGGCCGGACTGCGGACTGCAGTGGCGCAATCTCGGCTCACTGCAAGCTCCGCTTCCCGGGTTCACGCCATTCTCCTGCCTCAGCCTCCCGAGTAGCTGGGACTACAGGCGCCCGCCACCGCGCCCGGCTAATTTTTTGTATTTTTAGTAGAGACGGGGTTTCACCTTGTTAGCCAGGATGGTCTCGATCTCCTGACCTCATGATCCACCCGCCTCGGCCTCCCAAAGTGCTGGGATTACAGGCGTGAGCCACCGCGCCCGGCCGAAAGTTTTTATTTCTTCTTCATGTTTGAAGGATATTTTCTCTGGATATACTATTCTAGGATGAAAGGTTTTTGTTTGTTTGTTTGTTTGTTTTGTTTTTTTCCTCAGGACTTGAAATATTTCATGCCACTATCTTGGCCAGTAAGATTTCTACTGAGGCATCTGCTGCCAGATCCTTTCTGTGTAATTTTTTTTCCCTTCTCTTCTGCATTTAGGGTCCTTTATTTATCCTTAAACTTTAGGAATTTGATTATTATGTGTCTTAAGACAGTTTTATTTGGGTTAAAACTGTTTGGTGTTCTATAACCTTTTTGTGCTTTAAAACTGATTTTTTTTTTTAGGTTTGGAAAGTTCTCACTTATGATCTCTTTGAGTAAATTTTCTACCCTGATCTCTCTCTCTCTCTGCTTCCTCCTTAAGGCCAGTGACTCTTAGATTTGCCCTTTTGAGGCTATTTTCTAGATCTTGTAGGTGTGCTTCATTCATTCTTATTTTTCTTTTGTCTCCTCTGAGTGTGTATTTTCAAATAGCCTGTCTTCAAGCTCACTAATTATTTCTTCTGCTTGATCAATTCTGCTGTTCAAGACTTCAGTACATTTTTCAGTTTGTCAAGTGAATTTTTTATCTCCGGAATTTTTTGCTTGATTCTTTTTAATCATTTAAACCTCTTTGTTAAATTTGCAAAATGGCAGGAGTAAGTCCTTACTTTTCAATAATAATATTAAATGTAAATAGACTAAACACTCCAATCAAAAGAAAAACAGAGACAAAATGGATTTTTAAAAAAATGATCTGTTGTCTATAAGAAACACACTTCACTTATGAAGACAAAGACTGAAAACAAACGGATGGAAAAAGGTATTTCATGTAAGTAGAAACCAAAAAAAGAGCAGGAATAGCTATACTTATATAAATTTACCTGATAGGACTCTAAATTTCTTCTCTGTGTTATCTTGAATTTTGTTGAGCTACTTTAAAACAGTTATTTTCAATACTCTGTTTGAAAGGTCACATATTTCTGTCACTCTGTAATTGGTTGCTGGTGCGTTATTGGTGAGGTCATGTTTTTCTGTATGGTCTTGTCGCTGGTGTGTTATTGGTGAGGTCATGTTTTTCTGTATGGTCTTGACACTAGTGGTTGTTTGTTAATGTATTGTCATTGTAGAGTAGGTATTTATTCTAATCTTGAGTTCAGTCTGGGCTTGTTGGTATCTGTGTTTCTTGAGGATGATTTCCAAGTATTCAAAGAGAATTGAGTGTTGTAAACTAAGTCTTTGGTCTATAAGTGTATTGGGGGCACCCCAAGCTCAGTAATGCTGTGACTCTTATAGACCTGTAGAGGTACCACCTTGGTGGTCTTGGGTAAGATCCAGAAGAATTCTCTGGATTACTGGGAAGAGTCTCTTGTTCTCTTTCTTTAGTTTCCCTCAAACAAATGGAGTCTTTCTATGTTGAGCTGCCTGGAGTTGGAGAATAAGTGATGCAAGCATTCCTGTGGTCACTACTGTTAGGATTGTGCTGGGTTACACTTAAAGCCAGCTGTATTAATTGGGGTTATCTAGAAGATATATTGGCTATTGGATATATATCTATATCTAATTAGTTCTGTGTGTGTGTGTGTGTGTGTGTGTGTGTGTGTATATATATGATTTAAAAGTTATATGTATATGTGGGAGTTTACTAAGTATTAACTTACACAATCACAAGGTCCCACAATAGAAAAATAAGAATGAATGAAGCACACCTACAAGATCTAGAAAATAGCCTCAAAAGGGCAAATCTAAGAGTCAGTGGCCTTAAGGAGGAAGCAGAGAGAGAGAGAGAAAATTTACTCAAAGAGATCATAAGTGAGAACTTTCCAAACCTAAAAAAATAGGCAAGCTTGAGGAGAAAGGAGAGCCAGTCTGAATCTCAAAACTGAAGAAATTGGAGTCTGATGTCCAAGGGCAGAAAGCATCAAGCACGGAAGAAAGATGTGCTCTGGGAGGCTAGGCCAGTCTTGCCTTTTCATGTTTGTCTGCCTGCTTTATAGTTGCTGGAAGCTGATTCGATCGTGCCCACAAGATTAAGGGCGGATCTGCCTTCCCCAGCCCACTGACTCAAATGTTAATCTCCTTTGGCAATACCCTTACAGACACACCCAGGATCAATACTCTGGCTACTGCTTTTGCTGTGAGTAATAAATTAAACTTTGTCTCTGACAGAAGAGTCTCTTGCCTTCAGTCAGCATCCACAAACCTGTAGCGTGCTTGTTAGCTTGAAAGTTGGATAAAATCTCAGCTCCTTCACAATTCTTGACACCTTTAAAAATTACACATGTACACTATTTTTAAACGCACATGAAATCTTCACCAAAATAGAAAATGTTGGGTCTTTTAAAAAGTGACAGCAAAATAAAACAATTTAACTCATACTCTCTGACAACAATTATGCTAAATTAGAAGTCATTAACAATAAGACAGCATGAAAGTTTACAAATATTGGGGAACTGATCAACTTACTAATTCATAACTTGTGTGTCAAAAATAAATAAGAAGGAAAATTAGGAAATATTTCTAACTACATGAAAGTGAAAATACAGTATATCAAACTTTGTTGGATGCAACAGAAGGCGTATTTAGAGAAAATTGAGAATTAACAATGTTTATATAAGAAAAAAAGAAAGACATTAAGCTAGTGATATAAGGTCCCATGCTAAAAAGATGGGGACAAACAAAAACAAAATAAATAGTCCCAAAGTAAATGGAAGATCAAAAATCAAACATTAGAGAAGGCATCAATGACACAGAAACTGGGCAAACAATCAGAAACACCAACTAGGTCAACAAATTCTTGTTATGTTCATATGTAGTACACTTTGTGCCCCTGACCTATTATCATTCTGGGTCACTTCTCCCTTGAAGAGAACAGTAACAGTACATATTGCATTTCGGGTGGTAGGAAAGTCTTTGTGTATGAGAGGGAGCACACTAAGATTCAAGTGAGACAATTACTCCGTGGTCAGCAATTGAAACCCAATATTAGACTGTGATAACATAATTTTTTCAGGTATGCATTTGTGATGGACATGCCATTAGTGATAGTATCAGTCTTATTCTTTAAATTTGGCTCTCGAAATATGACTACTTTGATATGCCGAGGCAGTGAGCCTGACTAAAGTCTACCACTAGGTCTTTGTCCTTCTACATTTTGTCCTTCTACATTTGCCACTAACTACATTACATGGCCTAAAATATTTACTATATTTGATTCACATTTCCCCAATCTATAAAATAAGAATAATAGTATTTCTCCAATTAAATCACTTTGAGTATGGTATAATAATTTTCACAAGCCTTGGTGGTGGTGGTGATGATAGTGATGATGATGATCAGAGTGATGAGAATGATTATTACTTACTGTTAGTATACCATAAAATCAAATACATGAGTGAATTGAAGTCGTAGGTAAATTAGCTAAAATCAAAGTTTGTAGAAACAAAAGCAAGTGGAATAGTGTATGTGTTTCTCTTCAAATTACTACTGACATTTAAATATTCCTAGTCCCTTGGTGATGGATATTTGGGTCATTGTAAATACTTTAATCCCAAGGCTAAAACTTCTCTAATTTTCCTAATATTTTATTTTTAATCTACTCTCAGGACTTTTTCATATTTTTCATGCCTATGTTCTTGTTTATTCCCTGCTGTATCTCCTGTCTGTGTGTGTGTGTGTATGTATATGTATGGTATAAACAAATAGTCCATACATATACGCACATATATATTTTCCTTTAGTGTAAATAGCAACTTAGTTAAGTGTCTCAAAACAACTGATAGATAGAAACATAAGATGTCTATATCTTTTTTTATTTATTGCAAGATCTGAGTATGAAAGAAACCATATCATAATTAAATTACCATCCAAGGCTTACTTGGACAACTCCCTGGAGATGGAAGGGCACATTCATAAAAAGGGATCAATGTAATTTTTAAATGCTTAAGCATTCCACATCTTTGCTAACTTTACAGTATTTTTATAATTTTACACTGTTGTCTATTTGCTAAGGACACAAATTTATTTTGATGACAAGAGGTTATTACTACTATTCAGCTGTTATTGGAAAGTATTTGCTCAAAAATTAAGGCTTTTATATTTCTCACATAATAATAAGCTCAAAGATAGGCTATCTATGGGTGATGTTTTATAATTCCAACATGTCTCATGTTTCTTCTAATTTTCTGTTCAAGGCAAAGGACACAGAGCAAAAGACACATACTATTTGAAGCCATTCCTTTCATGAATGTTACACTGAAAAACCTCTTATTTCTCTTTGGCCAGCACTGTGTCTCATGACCACTTCTATCACTCATACATATAAAGGACATAGAGAAATGTCATTTTTTTGCGATTCATGCCCACCATATTGTACAAAGAAGGAGTTCTTTCAGCAAGGAAGAAAAGTTAACTATCTTGTTAGGCAATTGGCAACTTGTTACTGGCCGTCTATGACACAGCCAGTTTTAGTAATTTTTGGCTGTTCAGTACAGAAAAGCACAACTCCTTTACTTAATTCAGCAATCATAATTGATGTTAGAAAAATGTAACAGCTTGAAGTGGATTGATTAAAAAGAAATAGAACTAATAACCTTACATAAAAGCAGCAGGAATTTTAAAGGCAACTAGAATAGGATGCTTTGCTTGAAGTGATAGAGATGTGAAAAATTATTATCCAGATAGAGAGGAAAATATCATTAAAGTTTACAGGATTTTCAGTAAAGTAGTACCCAGCATTCTAATATGAGTAAAAATAAAGCTCACCAACAAATTTTGAATGAGGTTAGGAGAGGCTAGAGGCTGTCTCAGGAGGTGTGAGTTTCCTGTTACTGGAAGTGATGAAGGGTTGGTTAATGACCAGTAAGAATAGAATTTAAGGTGCAGACAGACAGATTGCTAAACCAGATGATCGTTATGATTCCATTCTCATCTTCAGATTATTTGACTACAGAGAAGGAGGACATGAGGGGCTAATCAGCTAAGTATGTGGCTTAAAATACAGTATTCTTTGCTTTCAACTTTTTCAGCAAATTAATAAAAATATACTTATTCATTTTAATCACTCAGCAAATAGTCTAAAATATATAACTAAACTGAAAGTCATAAGGTATGACGATAATTTTGGTTACAGATATTTGTTCTGACTATACTTTGTATTTCAGGAGAGAATTAATTGTGACTATTTAATTTGTTATACAAAATCTATCTGAAAATGCTTAAATTATAAAAGGATTTATGCATATAGTTTAAAAGTTTCAGAGAAATAACACGTCTGTACATAGTTTGATCCAGTCTCTGGCCTACTCTGTATTTCAGTTTTATTTTCAAACTGGTGTCCCTCAGGGTGGAAAACTGATGGCACATCCACAAAGCACATCATTAGGAGGGGATGGGCATCCAGTTCTGAATTATCTTCATAAATGCCAACTTTTGTGATCATTTGGTTAATCTTGAACTAATCTCAGCAGCTGGGAAAAAGCCATGTATTAATTGGATAGGTCCTAGTTTGCTATAGCCGTTTGCTGTATAGATTGTTGTGACACTAGGTATAATAAGGAGTTTGGGATTACCCTGAAGTATGTGGACCACTCAAAGTCTACCCAATACCACCCAAGTCATGCTGCTGCTTCATGATGGAGAATGTTTGGAATGATTGTTGGGGAGATAACCACAATGTTGATTATTGAAGTAAAAAACACTTCAGAATGTTCTAAGCATGAATGAAAAGACATGATGTTATGCTCTTACCTTCAAAGGGTTATGAAAGATACTAAAAGAAATCAAAATTGTCAGTTCTACAAATGACATTGCCAATCACCTTACAATTATTGCATCCACAAAACTTTTATATCCAATGATAGAGGTAACTGATACATTGTTTTAGTGTTGGTGAATAGAGGTTACAGATTCTATTGAGCCTTCAAAATAAGTTTAAAATTACCAAAGCTCAGTCCAACATTCACACACTTTGGAAAAACAGATTCGAATGTCCAATGTTGTTTGTGGTCACAGTGGTTGTCAAATAAGCAACTGAAAGAAGAAAAACAACATTTTTTTTTGACCAAGAATAATCCTCACATAAAACTCTATTAATCCTTAGAGATAGATATCTTCTTAGGGATTTCTGTCACTGCCTTCCATGAGTGTAATCTAAAATGAAGGATTCTAACTGACACATGCTTTCAATACTCTTGGTCTTTTCCACATATCTTGAAGAAATAGCTACCATCATTTTTCACTCTATCTTTCCTGAGTTTCACAGAAATTGCTGCCAAATGACAAAAGAGAAACACAGGAACTCAATCATCTTTGTATTGAATGTTTTCTATATAAATTGGTTTTGGAGCATGAGTTATTATACCCAATGCCAGTAATATCACAGGAAACTCTCATTATTAAATGGCAGAGAGCCATAAATTGTGTCCTGTGATGAAAAAGTTATTAGAGGGAGTTTCAATGTTTCTTTTTAATATACATGTGTGTTTACCCAATGGTTTGAAATTTGGAAATGTATACTTATCATTTCAGAGTATTATTTGTTATTTTTCCAATAGTTTTAAAATTTATTTAAATGATGCAATATATATGTATATTAGACATAGTTTATATAAAATATGTGATGCAATAGGAAAGACTAAGAAAGCTCTAGATTAAATTTTAGCTTCAATATTTAACATAAAGTAAACTTGAATAATCACATCATTATGGAACCTTAGTCTTCTCATGAATAAAATGGTGCAGTTCTGTATTTTGGTAGTGTCGTTGTGAGCATCAGTGAAATAAATTATAAGTCATAGTGTCTAGTCATATTAAACATATATTAATTCTACCCTTGAAATAACTAACAGGGTTATAAAAACACATGAAAGAAAATATATAAATGAGAGTACTATGGCAATAATTATATTATTAATCATATTATTTACAACTATTATCTCAATCAGTGATATTTGCCCCAGAACTTGTCTGGAACTATGGGGAAATCCATTGTTGCGGATTGTCCTATGCCAACATGAGACTGTTGCAATAGAGAAAATGTCAGCAGTGTATGTCTAGCCAGAAAAGGTCCAGAGATAAATCCCCTGTCTCCACTCACCATTTAAATTTTTCTGCTGGATTTGAAAGAGATCAAATCAAGTCAAGTATGGGATGAAAGCAGCAAAGAATTGGAAATGCTATGCTTGTCAAGGAATTGTCACAGTGAGGGATGAAGGACTCCATAGTAGAGTCTGTGGAGACAAGAGGCCTGGCTGGTATCTAAAGAGAGGATGTGGGAGCTGAGCAGAGAGAAGGGACAGCAGGACAAGACTGTCTGGTGTTCTCTGCATTTTCTCAGATGAGAGAAGGAGAGAAGGATGGAGAAATTAATCAACAAGCTTAGATTGCCTCTCAAGAAAAGGAAAATAGGGAAGGAAAGAACTCTGAAATTGATTAGTTGTTCAGAAAGAAACTTTTATGTAAACAGGAAATAAATAAGTTTATTATCTAAATTGTTTCCTCCTGCTGAAAGAAATGGGCCTTTGAGAATTATGTTCAATTCAGTAAGAAGAAAATAAAGTTCTATTTTTAAATATCTAAGTGGTTTGGACTTTTATTATGACAAATTTTAAAGCTGCTATGCAAAGTTTCCAAGTTTATAACAGCCTTTAGTGGATTTTTCTATTTCCAATTTATATTAAATAAAATATAATATATTAAATAAAATTATATAATTAATTGTCATTCATAGCTTTTGATCACCATGAGATAGCCAATGTTTAACCTTTGAAATTAAAAAATAATAAAAATAACTTACCTAATTTATTACATATCCTAACCACTCTACCCATAGAAAATTGTTGATGTTTGACCATGTTTGAACTAGAAAAATGGCAATTTCATACAGTAGAACTTAATACCTAGGCCTCTGGGGCACTCCAGGTTGAAACCTCCAGAATAGATGATGAAAAATGTTGTTAGGGTGTGTAGGAAGATGTGTTTAGCAAGAAACATGTTTAAGATGAATGTAAAATAGAAAATAATTTTTGAAAATCATTAGAACTGCAAGACATAAACTCATGATGATTACAACTTAATTTAATATTCAAGTGTGGCCTTCTTTGCAGATAACAAAAAGGTATTTTTCTGATATTGCTGTTTTAATTAAAGACTACTTAAATTTTTAACAAACTTTTTTGAAAATTTTAGTTCATGTAATACTTACAGTTGACCAAAACCTTCTGGTTACTTTTATACTAACTTTTATCTATTATAAATGAAAGCAATGTCCAAGCCAGCCCTAAACTTAGCATGTGCATGTGTTCTAAAGAGAAGCTATTAAAGACTCATCTATTGGAAATGAAATGTTCATTAGTGCAAATAAAGTGGAATTTTATAAAGTGCACAAATGGAAGTGACAGTTCAGGTAGAAAGAAGGAGAATATTTTGGGCATCTGGGCCAGCACTGTCCTTTCCTTTTATATTATATAATACTTTATAGTTCTGCTTTTTTGTTGTTTATTTTACTTCCAAATTCAAATGTTACATTTTGTATTTCAAAAAGCTTGTATTTTCTGAGGTACATAGGGAAGTAAACCATTGTGGCCATTCCCTTCTTAGCCTGTGTTCACTCGCCAAGTCGAAGTATAGTAAATGGTAAGAAAGATTATCGTTACTAATATTAACCTTCACTGATGAACAGCAGTTTGGAAGAGCTGTTTTCTTTAATGGGGATTATTGAATTTTATACAATTTCAGCAGCTGGAAGAAAAAATATTTTTTTAAACTGTTTTTCCTTAACACCCTTCTGCAAAGGTCTCTCTTGACTTACATGGAACTCTAGGTCAATATCCTCTTAGGAACAGTCACAGCATCAAGCTATAGGGCAACTCTCCTATGTGTGGGAAAGTCAGAAATCCTGAGTACCAGTTACTTCTTAAATCTGGTAGAGAAAATTGGGTTTCACATATTCTGCCCATCTGTAATATACTAAGGACAGAAAAGTGTATGATCAATCTTGAAAACATTCCAGAGGAGTCATGTGGTGATGTTGTATTCATGATCTGTTGACATCTCACATGAATTTGGGATTCCATAGTGATTCTCAGTGCCAAATTTATTAATATCTGGAAACTGGGATAATTTAATATTTAAATCTATATCATTCTAGTCTGTGTTTCTATACCAGAGACTTTACATTCCTCTTCCTTACAAAACACTCCTATGTACAGCATCATGATCCAGTTAAAAAATCCAAAGCAACAACTGTTTCACGTTTACTCCCAAACAGAGTGAGTATCACGGCATTTAGTTATTTAGCTACATTAAACAATGACATCATCGTGTTTCTTTAATCTGCAGGTGCATGCTGCTGAGCTTCAAAAGTCCAGCTCATTTGAATTATTACCAAAAAAATCCAGTTGTTTAAAACCTTGTACTATTTTGGCCTTGTTGAGTTTTTGTGGGGATTTTGTTTGTCATGGGAAACAAAATTATTAAAGTATTCTCATGGCAAAAACATCTTTCTTAAATTATTGTAGATACTATTCGCTATGGGTTTTGTCACAGAAAACCTGGAACTGGATACCTGGAACTGGATTAGTAAAAAAGATGGTGACATATCTGCTTACAGACAGCATGTGAGTGAGCCAAGAAATGATGTCAGATAGGGTGCAGGGACATAGAAGAATCTTAAGAAAATTAATGTCTAACATTCTTTTTAGACCTCTTTCCTATTTTGGATATACTGAGTTCTCCCTCATTTAATCTTAAACATCGAATATCTGTTACATGCAATGGCCTTGCATTATCTGTTGTTTGGAGAATAAAGGAAAAGCCCTTGTATGAGTCCATTTTCACACTGCTGATAAAGACATACCCGAGACTGGGTAATTTATAAAGAAAAAGAGGTTTAACAGGCTCACAGTTCCACGTGGCTGGGGAGGCCTCACAATCATGTTGGAAAGTGAAAGGTATATCTTACGTGGCGGAAAGCAAGAGAGAATGAGAACCAAGTGAAAGGGGTTTCCCCTTATAAAACCATCAGATTGCATCTCATGAGGCTTATTCACTACTGCGAGAATAGTATGGGGGAAGCTGCCCCCACGATCAATTATCTCCCACTGGTCTCTCCCACAACACATGAGAATTGTGGGAGCTACAATTCAAGATGAGATTTGGGTGAGGACACAGCCAAACCATAACAAGCCTTGTGTGGAGAATAGTGATTAAAATAGTTACATGTACATTCTTTTACATGTAAAATAATGAAAGTTTTAAATGGTAACATCAGAAGTGGTAAACTGGAGAGAAGGAAAACCAGCCAAAGTAATTATCTTCTAACTTGCAATAAAGGCCAGGGTCTGAGATGAGAAGTGAGGTAGAAACGTTTGGAGGAATGAAAGAACTGCAATGGATTATAGGAAGAATAAATTATTACAAAAAGAGCTAATAGCTGCTTAGGGTTTGCAGGGTTTCAGGAGTTAACCCCAGGAAAGTTGGTTAATCCTGGATGGAAAGAGGGAAACTCCACAGACTTAATTACAGCATTATTCTCAGAAAGGTGTAATTCTTATTCAGGAAATAGTCAGGAAGCCATTTATTGACATCAGAAGTGTGTCTTCAACTTTAAAATAAAGCTTGGAAGCAAAATATGATAGAATTTACATCATTGGTGACCAGAGGTGACCAAGAGGAAATTGCTTCACTTTGGACTAAACAGAAATGTAGGGAGAAGAAATGAGGATTAAAGGTTGCAGAGAAGCAGGCAAAGCGTAGTGTGGGGGAAAGACAATTTCTTGAGTATGCTCCATGTGTTGGACACTATATGAGATGTTTTGTCCACATTGTATATCTAATCTTCACAACCACAGCTCTGTTAATAGATATTTTATCTCCATTTAATAAGTTAAGAATTAAATAATTTGGACACTTATGCACTTAGTAAGTGAAGGTTGTTGAATTTAATACAATATTGGCTTCTTTTAATAGAAGGCAAGCAAATTACGAAACAGACAAAACAAAGCAAAGAAACAGAGAGAAAGAAAAACTGGATAGGATACCTGCAACTGGATTAGTAAAAAAGATGGTAGACATATCTGCTTAGAGACAGTATGCAAGTAAGCCAAGAAATGATGTCAGACAGGGGATAGGGGCATGGACGGTAGAAGAATCCTAAGAAAAATAATGTCTAATAATCTTTTAGACTTCTTTCCTATTTTGAACATACTGAGTCCTTTCTCATTTAATCTTAAACATTGAGTATTACATGCAATGGTCTTGCATTATCGGTTCTTTGGAGAATAAAGGATAAGGCTTTGTGTGGGGAGTAGTGATCAAAAGGAGTACAGCAGCTGTCAGCAGTTGTATTTCAAAGGACTGTAATCTCCTGGGGGAATCATGAAAAAATCTTAGAATTCAGAGTGTCCCTCAGTATATGGAACATAGATCTGACTTATTTAATTTAGAAATTTATAGAAATGAACCCAGAAGATTGGAGGATTTAGGGAAAGACAAATTAAATGTATTTCCCTTTTACATTTCTACTTTAAATTGATTTTCTAGTCAAAAACTCTGTATAGAGCAAATGCTGAGAGCCTAATGCATCTTCCTTCTGGAGGATTAGAAACAGAGGTCTATAAATAGCATAACTAGGAGGATAAAATTGTATATTTATGAGAGAGGTCTTGAAACCTGTTAGCCATCTATACTGTCATATATAATTAAAGTAATAATTAAAGTAGGTTGTCTTGTGTTCATTAGGAAAAATCATCTAACGTGCACATAACTCATGATAACAGTGAACAGCTTTTCTCCCTTAAACAGTATCCTATAGGCTAGCGATAACTTGGAAATGTATTATATTTGCTTTGTACAGTGTTTTATAATATTTAAAAGGTTGATTTCCAATATTTATACACTGTGAGATTTCAAAGAACATTATGGAATTTTGGATTTTCCTAAAAAATGGGAAACACAAGTTCACTGATGTCTAATCCATGAATTTATGTTTTTTGTTTAGCCCCTGCAGACATCTGAATTATACTTAGGAAAAGAAAATCTCTGTTTAGACCCAAATCTTAATTAATTATTTAATTAATTAATTATTTTTTTTGAGATGTTGTCTTACTCTTGTTGCCCAGGCTGGAGTCCAATGGTGTGATCTTGGCTCACTGCAACCTCCGCCTCCCGTGTTCAAGCGAGTCTCCTGCCTCAGCCTCCTGAGTAGCTGGAATTACAGGTACCCACCACCACACCCGGATAATTTTTTATTTTTAGTAGAGATGTTGTTTCACTATGTTGTCCAGGCTGGTCTCGAACTCCTGATCTCAGGTGGTCCACCCACCTTGGCCTTCAAAGTGTTAGGATTACAGGCATGGGCCACTGTGCCTGGCCCCAAATCTTCTTTTTAAAATAATTTCAACTTTTATTTTAGATTCAGGGAGTACACATGCAGGTTTATTACAAGGGTATATTGTGTGATGCTGAGGTTTAGGGTATAAATGATCCTGTCATCCAGGTAGTGAGCATAGGTACACAATAAGTAGTTTTTCAGTCCATGCCCTATCCCATCCTTCCCTTGTCTAGTAGTCCCCAGTGTCTATTGTTCCCATGTTTATGTCCATGTGCACCCAAATGCTTAGCTCCCACTTATAAATGAGAACATGTGGTATTTGGTTTTCTGTTCCTGTGTTAATTGGCTTAGGATAGTGGCCCCAAGATGCATCCATGTTGCTCAAAGGACATGATCTTATTCTTTTTTAATAGTCCCAAATCTTGATAGACCACAGTGGTTATGGGAGTATCGTTCTCTCTCCTCTCTCTTCTCTGGCTCATTAGACCTCAGAAAATGGCTGGAGAAGTCAAGAGTGATACAAAGATTTAGCAAAAATATCTTGTGTAGGAGATCAGGAAAGATGTTAAGGTTTGAAGGAGCAGATACAAAGCAGAGGAATGGAGGATGGGATTCTAGAAATCACATATAAAAAATAAGGAGTAAAAGTTCCCTACAGGTGAATATATTTGATGGGTTTAAATTAAAGACGCCTAATATTAGATTCTAAAGTATTTTCTGACTGCACTAGTAATATAATGCTCTACATTTTGTCCTAAATCTTGTGTAAGATTCCTCTTCATACAGCCTCAGAATGGTAAGCATTTTGGAAATGAAAGCAATGGAACATTTTTCCTTGGTCAGCAAATAAATATACATGCATAAGGAAAACCAAGGTGAACAACAGCAGATGAAGGAATTTGAGCGGAATTTTTTCCCTCCACCCCTGCTGCATATTGGGAGATTGCACTCCCTGCATCTCTTGAAATGGAAAATTAGACTTATTTTCTTTTATATTCAATGTGAATCCCAAAAACTGAGGGAACAAAGGCTCTCCAAGAGTCTGACAAAGGAGTTTCCATAGTTAAAACATTCCGTTACAAACTTAAAACATGAGGGGCTTCTTTAACTTGAGACTTTGCTTAAGGAGTTGCTGTTCCCTAAGTCTGACAGAAAGCAATTCGTCAGAAATAATTTCTGTCAGCTGAGATGAGAGGTTAAATGTAAGCAGTAAGAACTCTATCTGAACACTTTAAGAAAAATACATAATACAATGAGTTTACATTTGATGAGAAAGTTAGATTCTAAAGTAAAGACATGAGACAAAAATCACATACATTCATAATTAGCCTTGAATAATGACTTTACTGCCCTTAAATCACCAGGGTGGGGCCCTGGTAGATTTACTTTCTCTTTGTATTAATTCTGTTGCCTGGTATCCTTGGCAAATAGGTGTTAAGATAAATAAAGCAATAGCTTCCCACACCCTCTCCCCTCTCCTGTCCCCCAAAGTGCAAGTAAATAGGATGAGAAGTTAACTGTGTATAAATATGTGTAAATGTTACTCCACTAGGTACCAAATTGGTTTCATTGGGGAATTCTAAAGTAGTATGATTTTTGTTTCTATTTGAAAGTGCTCAGAAATTTTTATTTAGTTTTTCTTTTCATCAAACTGTTTCCAAAACTTAAAATGACAGTTCCACAGGCACTTAGGCCCTTAAAAATGTGGTTCACTCTACAATCTCATTGTTGTGGATAATTATGAACTTTTGTTGAGCTATGAGTGTGTAGGGAAGAAATTGTTACATCGAAATATGGGACAGCTAATGTTTGTGTTCCTTAATGCAAAGTTTACTCTTTGCATGAGGGATGTATTAATGTGTATCTAACAACCTGATGAAATCTATATGGCCTCAACTTTCCTTTCAAGCTCGCTTTTAAAGGAGGCTGAATCTATCCAAAAAAGGATTAACCAATCAAGACGTTGCTTACACATTACTACACATCTCTTCACAGTTTGTGAGATACTAGTAATTCTGTTACCTTTAAAACCATACAAGGCAGCTGTTTCCCCACACTTTTTAACAGTGTTGAGCAAAAGATGGAGGAAGGGCATTAGCTGGAAAGGTTTTATGACTTAAAAAAGTTAAGATTAACTTGATTCTGAGACCTGTAACGTCCCTCGACATTCTCTTCTCACATATACCTATGTTGCTCCTCTTATAATTCATATGTGCTTCTTATATATGGCCTTGTTAACATTAATAAAAATCACACAAATATGTAGGATTTAACTAAAACATGATTGTTTTCTTCAGGATCCTCAAACAAACTTTATTTATAAAGAATTTGTAAGTGTTTTGAATGGAGCCGAAACAAAACATCTGTTTTTTGTTTAGTGACAACTTTTAAGGTGCAATTGGGAACAGGATTCATCCATCTTCAAGTTCACTCAACTTTTCCAAATTGGAGCTTACATACCAACGTGCCTGTGTTTCTATAAAATTGTTGTAATGTCAGCATGACTTTATGAAAATGTTTATTTTTTTCTCCTTTCCATATTGTATTTTACTACTGCGCGTCCAACAAAGATCAAACAAAATTGTAAAGTATATGTCTAGAGTGCATTTCTGTTGAAAGGAAAGGCTGGGATAAAATCAACCTGAAATAAACTTAAGTTTCTTAAAATATTTTATTCTCAAAGGTACATCAAATTTAGCTTAGGCTCATATTGTAGCTGAATCCTGTACAGAATCTGAATAAACAGATGATTTGCATTTGTCACACTAACATATGCCAATATTATTATGATAATCTATGAAACCTGAATTATTGAGAATTAACTGTGTGATCTCAAGAAGCAGCTCAATGAACTGATCAGGTTGTCTGTTCATTTGGAAGATTCAGGTAACATGTGCACATAGCCATGATAACTCAGTGAACAGTGTTGCCACTTGCTTGCCGCACACTTTCAATCCTTTATCCCTGCAAAAATATCTTCTAAATGATTATATTTGCCTTTTTTTAGAAAGCACCAACTATAGATACACTATGCATATTATTTTGGCTATCTCAGAGTAAGCAATTTAGAAAAAGTACAGCTTGCACACCATGGTACAGATGGAGGTAGTTGAGTTAAAAAAAAGCTACACTAAAATATGCTTATACCTATGTGATTACTACCTCATAAATAGAAGAATTACAATCCATTCACTTTAAATGTAATCCCAAATGAATAATTTACTAGGCTTCATGGAAAGTAAAACATGACAATAATATTTGTTCCCAGACCCTTAGCTATTTATACTGTATAATTAAAGTAAATGATTTGAACTTTATATTCTTGAGTATTCCTGAACCCTAATCAAAATCATGGGCATTTCAAAACATCATCTTTTTTTTTTTTTTTTTTTTTTTTTGAGACGGAGTCTCGCTCTGTCGCCCAGGCTGGAGTGCAGTGGCGCGATCTCGGCTCACTGCAAGCTCCGCCTCCCGGGTTCACGCCATTCTCCTGCCTCAGCCTCCTGAGTAGCTGGGACTACAGGCGCCCGCTACCATGCCTGGCTAATTTTTTGTATTTTTTAGTAGAGACGGGGTTTCACCGTGTTAGCCAGGATGGTCTCGATCTCCTGACCTTGTGATCCGCCCGCCTCGGCCTCCCAAAGTGCTGGGATTACAGGCGTGAGCCACCGCGCCCAGCCCAAAACATCATCTTTATCAAAACTTAGCACTGCATATTTTATGCAAGCATTCTGCCATTAATTTTACTAATACTTTTCTTTAGTCACAAGAAAAATATAGTAAAAACAAACAAAAAAAATCAATAGCTCACTGATATGGTTTGACTGTGTCCCCACCCAAATCTCACCTTCAAATTTAGTTCCCATAATCTCCACGTGTTATGGGAGGGACCTAGTGGGAGGTAATTGAATCATGGGGGTGGTTTTCCCCATGCTATTCTCTTGATAGTAAGTTCTCACTAGATCTGATAGTTTTATAAGGGGCTTCCTCTTTTGATCAGCTCTTATTCTTCTCTTTCCTGCTGCCTTGTGAAGAAGGACATGTTTGCTTCTCCTTCTGCTATGATTGTATAATAAGTTTCCTGAGGCCTTCCCAGCCCTGTAGAACTGTGACTTAATTAAGCCTCTTTCCTTTATAAATTACCCAGTCCTGTGTATGTCCTTATAGCAGCATGAGAATGGACTAATACTCTCATCATTGATCATCAAGTAAAACCATGTAGAATATCATTCTGTATTCTACATGTTTCTTCTAGGCAATTAGTTATTTAAGCCAGCACATTCACTAGCTGGGAGAGAGTTTCTTAGTCAGGAAATTTGCTTCCATTCTTTTCTGAATGTCTTGACTACTGATAGGAGTCATAGAGTGATATTGAAAGAATGATATAGAGCTAACATCAACCTTGGGGCACAAAGTTACCCTTGGATTTATTGATTTGAAGTTTATTTATTGCTGTCTTCATTTGGAGAGCTAGAAAATTTTCTTCTATGCTAAACTCTTTTGTTTTGTAGAAGGCTTCTCTTCCCTGCTTTTCCCTTTCCTTTCATTGCCTTCCTTTTCCATTTTCTCTCTGTCTGTCACACACACACACATCCCTCACTCACACACACAAGGCTTCCTCTTACACTATAAAAATATCCTTCTAGATTATTTCACCATTGTTACAGAGTCTATCTTCCAAATCTGAATGGATGAGTTTATGATGGTGAGGTGGACGTTTATGTTAAAGCCATTAAAATGAAAATGTTGCGAACAGACGTTTCTTTGAGCAACAGGAAATGAGCCAGATTGTGATTGGATTTGAAGTTTATATTATTTCCAGGGATAAGGAGACTCTGATGAGTACAAACTGATGTGACTGCAGGTTTCCTTGTCAATTCTTCACATCCGTGAGTTATGAAGCTTTATTCTGACAGTGGAAAATTAATTCACTCTGCTGTCTTGATTGCTTTCCCACAGTGCTTCCACCATGACTCTGTGCACCAAGAAGAGTGAGAGTGGTTTTTCTTCCTGGTGGGTTGGCCCAGTCCCCATGAGGATGAGGAATCTGAGATGGGGAAGGCTAGTCAGAAGAGAAACATTTCTCGTTACTTCAGTAGTCAATGGCAAAATTTAAGGTGAGAGATTTATCCATATAGAGATGTGGTGGGTTTTGCTTGCTTTATCCAGCATAAGAGAGAGAGAGTCTAAGCAGTTTCTGAACATTTTCTTGCTAGTTAAAGTTTAAGTTAAAGTCATTTCCTTCTTATAGAGGCCAGTGGAAACATTTATGATAGGAAGTCTTGGGCCCACAGCCCAGTGTGAGATGTAGTACAGAAATATTTTCCAGTGTTTGGTGTATTTGGTGGTCATGAAACAAACACTGGGGTGCAATCCTGATTTCAAAATGAAATGCCTGGGAAGGTGAGATTTCTTTATTAACTCTAAATAATGTACTGTTATTCTCATACTCAGGAAGATTACAAAGGACTTAGGCTCACCAGGATCTAGGAATAGCTATGAAGAAAAAGCACAGATTGTTTGGGAGTAATGGTTCTCACAGCTTATAATTTCTGAAAGTTTTGATTGTTTTGATAAATTTGACAATAGTTTATAAGTGTCATACACATAATAAGTAATTAAAGAATTTTATTGTCTTTTGAAAGCTTTGTAATATAATTAAAGTGTCCTTTCCACTCCCCTGCTGTATAACATGAAGAGTCTTGATCTGGGGCTGATTGTTGATTCAAAATAAAACCATTAAGATCTGGAGGTGGTGGTGCATGCCTGCAGCCCCACCTACTCTGGAGGCTGAGGCAGGAGAACTGCTTAAGCCTAGGAGTTCAGTGTGTGCGTGTGTGTGTGTGTGTGTGTGTATTTCCCATCTAATTCCCTTTAATGGGGGAGGTAAGGGAAAGTCCCTTTCCTAGAATCTGGGCACTTAACCTGAAATAATTAATTCCAGTCACATAATTTCATAGAAGTCTCAGATTACCTTAAAATTTTACAGTTTTGCATTCTTTTGTGTTATATGTCTCAACTGATTTTTGATTAAAAATGATTACTTATTACCAGAAGATCAACTAAATTTTCTTACTTGATCATTGACTTTTTTCAATTACCCAATCACTTTCTATGGATATGTACGTATATGGATGTGTTGTACATGCATGTGCTGTATACACATGCATACACATACATATACATACACATAGCATGAGATACATATTTTTATCTTTAATCACTAGTCTTTCACAAAAAATACACATTTGTTTCATGTAAGAAATAATTGTGTTTCTTTTAGACAGATTTTATTTTAAAAACAATGGCAAGGTATCAGCAGGTCTTAAGAAGAGTTATGCTATCAGACATGCTGAATGGAAAATGAGTTGAACATGGATAAGGGGAGAAACAGGGATACCAGCTAGGAGGCAATTGCCAAAGTTCAAGTAAGAGAAAGAGTAAACTGGACTAAGATGCTATAGAGTTCAGACAGAGAGAAATGAGCAAGTTATACTCTCAATATGAAGCCAGTTTGACTTACTGATGAGTTGGATGTGGGATTTAGGGAAAGAGAGGAATCACAGATGACTCCTTGGATTTTGGTGTGAGCACTTGCATAGGTTGGGGTGTTATTATCATACCCTAGAGCTCAAGGTCTTTCTTTGGCTCTTAGATAACTAGAAATTAACACCAGGCCAAATAGAAGTTTTTCTCCAGTGAGGTTTTAATATCCTTGTGTCTCAGATAGCACGAAGGGACAGCATACAGGAAAGAGATCTTGATGCTAGCTCCCTGAGTGCCTTGGCTCTTGGCTCCTGTCACTTCAAGGAAACTGAGACAGAAAAACGTAAAACGCAGGTACGACTGGGTGGGGCTTTTCCTGTGCCTGCACGTTGAGGCCTCACATACTAACAGGCATCCCATGTACACAAAATGGCAGGTAAGCCCTACTCTGGGAAGAGATTTTAGTATTATATCGAGATTTTAATGAGGAAAAAGTCTTTGAAAACTACAGGAGTCCATCTTGTCACCAGCCAGCTGTATCTGGTCAGATTCTTATCAGGAATGTTAGAGTCCTGGTTCAGCAACCTTGGAAGACATAAATAAAGGAGATAAATGGCTAAGTTCTTCCTTTTATGGCTAGGAATTTGGTCTGGTCTGCTAAATTAGGAAGGTCCCCACCCTCTGTTATGTGAAGTGGGTCAGTTTCTTCAGGGAGACAAGAAGGTAAGGGAGGGAATATGTCCAGACATGTTAGGCCCATTGGGATTTTGGTTACCATGTCTCTTGTCTGCCAGGACCAAGTCTCTTTCTTATATTGTCTTAGGGCCATTTACTGGGAAAAGCACGGAAGAAATGGCTTAAGACGGAGGTAAAAAAGAACCTTGTTTTTGCTGCTAAACTTGAGGTGTCTATTTTAAATTTTAAATTAAAATCATTAAGTAACAGCTAGATATATGTGTGGACCTTGGTGTAGAGATAGGGACTTAAGATATGATTTTACCAGTCATCTATATTTACATTATATTTAAAACTACAGTAGTGGGTGAGATATGTATAGAGAAGAGAAAAAGTATAAGACACAACCTAGGGAGTATGTGTAAGTACAGAAAACTATAAGACCAAGTTCTTGGCCATTCTAACATTTAAGTTGGAAAAAAAGAGTTAACACACAAGACTGGGAAGGAACACTTAATATGTCAGAAAACAAACCAGGAAAGTATGATTTCCCAGAAGCCTAGAGAGAAGTTTTGAAGAAGTAACAATCAACTGTGAAAATATAACAGTGAATCATTTGAGAAATATGAGCACATAAACACATTTAACTGATTTTGCAAGATGGAGGTCATTGTTAACTGGGATAAGAATGTTGGGGTTCAGGAGAGTGTGGGAGGGGAAGAAGTACACTAAGTACTTGCAACTAGTTTAGAAACTTAACAGACAAATGAGCCAGTAAAGGAAGAGAAATATGTGGTCCAAAGAAGGATTTCTAACATGGGAAATAATGGAGGCTGCTTTCTTCCTGATGAGAGTGATTCTGCAGAAAGAAAATAATGATACAGGCAGGAGCTGGTGACTGCATGAAAGTCATTAGATGAGTAATTAGTGTTGGGAACATGAATTCTTGTCTTATTATTTTCATTTTCTCAATTAATTAAAAGGTGATATTATCCACTAATGAGAGAAAGCAGGGATGTTGGGGTTTTGAGGAGAGAGATATGAAGTAGTCTGAATAGGAAAAAAAAGGAAAATTAAATTAATAGAGAAATGTATTTCTGGTAGGAATGCTAGGTATGCTGATAGAACCTTGGCATTCTGGATATAATGGTCAGGGTTTCAAGGATTTTAGGATATATTAGATCATTTTGAAAAACTATGAATTTGAGCTACATACTAAAGATATATTTTTTTAAATTAATGATTAAAAAAGAAACTGTTCTTTTAAATTACCACTACAAAGAAAGCCTAGTGTTGAGGTTGAAAATCAAGCAAATCTCCAGTAGTCTAAATGATTGATAGTTCTTTTTTTTTTTTTTTTTATACTTTAAGTTTTAGGGTACATGTGCACATTGTGCAGGTTAGTTACATATGTATACATGTGCCATGCTGGTGCACTGCACCCACTAACTCATCATCTAGCATTAGGTATATCTCCCAGTGCTATCCCTCCCCCCTCCCCCCACCCCACCACAGTCCCCAGAGTGTGATATTCCCCTTCCTGTGTCCATGTGATCTCATTGTTCAGTTCCCACCTATGAGTGAGAATATGCAGTGTTTGGTTTTCTGTTCTTGCGATAGTTTACTGAGAATGATGATTTCCAATTTCATCCATGTCCCTACAAAGGACATGAACTCATCATTTTTTATGGCTGCATAGATATTCCATGGTGTATATGTGCCACATTTTCTTAATCCAGTCTATCATTGTTGGACATTTGGGTTGGTTCCAAGTCTTTGCTATTGTGAATAATGCCGCAATAAACATACGTGTGCATGTGTCTTTATAGCAGCATGATTTATAGTCATTTGGGTATATACCCAGTAATGGGATGGCTGGGTCAAATGGTATTTCTAGTTCTACATCCCTGAGGAATCGCCACACTGACTTCCACAATGCTTGAACTAGTTTACAGTCCCACTAACAGTGTCAAAGTGTTCCTATTTCTCCACATCCTCTCCAGCACCTGTTGTTTCCTGACTTTTTAATGATTGCCATTCTAACTGGTGTGAGATGGTATCTCATAGTGGTTTTGATTTGCATTTCTCTGATGGCCAGTGACGATGAGCATTTTTTCATGTGTTTTTTGGCTACATAAATGTCTTCTTTTGAGAAGTGTCTGTTCATGTCCTTCGCCCACTTTTTGATGGGGTTGTTTGTTTTTTTCCTGTAAATTTGTTTGAGTTCATTGTAGATTCTGGATATTAGCCCTTTGTCAGATGAGTAGGTTGCAAAAATTTTCTCGCATCTTGTAGGTTGCCTGTTCACTCTGATGGTAGCTTCTTTTGCTGTGCAGAAGCTCTTTAGTTTAATTAGATCCCGTTTGTCAATTTTGGCTTCTGTTGCCATTGCTTTTGGTGTTTTGGACATGAAGTCCTTGCCCATGCCTATGTCCTGAATGGTAATGTCTAGGTTTTCTTCTAGGGTTTTTATGGTTTTAGGTCTAACGTTTAAATCTTTAATCAATCTTGAATTGATTTTTGTATAAGGTGTAAGGAAGGGATCCAGTTTCAGCTTCCTACATATGGCTAGCCAGTTTTCCCAGCACCATTTATTAAATAGGGAATCCTTTCCCCATTGCTTGTTTTTCTCAGGTTTGTCAAAGATCAGAAAGTTGTAGGTATGCGGCGTTATTTCTGAGGGCTCTATTCTGTTCCATTGATTTATAACTCTGGTTTGGTACCAGTACCATGCTGTTTTGGTTATTGTAGCCTTGTAGTATAGTTTGAAGTCAGGTAGCGTGATGACTCCAGCTTTGTTCTTTTGGCTTAGGATTTACTTGGCAATGCGGGCTCTTTTTTGGTTCCATATGAACTTTAAAGTAGTTTTTTCCAATTCTGTGAAGAAAGTCATTGGTAGCTTGATGGGGATGGCATTGAATCTGTAAATTACCTTGGGCAGTATGGTCATTTTCATGATATTGATTCTTCCTACCCATGAGCATGGAATGTTCTTCCATTTGTTTGTATCCTCTTTTATTTCCTTGAGCAGTGGTTTGTAGTTCTCCTTGAAGAGGTCCTTCACATCCCTTGTAAGTTGGATTCCTAGGTATTTTATTCTCTTTGAAGCAATTGTGAATGGGAGTTCACTCATGATTTGGCTCTCTGTTTGTCTGTTGTTGGTGTATAAGAATGCTTGTGATTTTTGTACATTGATTTTGTATCCTGAGACTTTGCTGAAGTTGCTTATCAGCTTAAGGAGATTTTGGGCTGAGACAATGGGGTTTTCTAGATATACAATCATGTCATCTGCAAACAGGGACAATTTGACTTCCTCTTTTCCTAATTGAATACCCTTTATTTCCTTCTCCTGCCTAATTGCCCTGGCCAGAACTTCCAACACTATGTTGAATAGGAGTGGTGAGAGAGGGCAACCCTGTCTTGTGCCAGTTTTCAAAGGGAATGCTTCCAGTTTTTGCCCATTCAGTATGATATTGGCTGTGGGTTTGTCATAGATAGCTCTTATTATTTTGAAATACGTCCCATCAATACCTAATTTATTGAGAGTTTTTAGCATGAAGGGTTTTTGAATTTTGTCAAAGGCTTTTTCTGCATCTATTGAGATTGTCATGTGGTTTTTGTCTTTGGCTCTGTTTATATGCTGGATTACATTTATTGATTTGCGTATATTGAACCAACCTTGCATCCCAGGGATGAAGCCCACTTGATCATGGTGGATAAGCTTTTTGGTGTGCTTCTGGATTCAGTTTGCCAGTATTTTATTGAGGATTTTTGCATCAATGTTCATCAAGGATATTGGTCTAAAATTATCTTTTTTGGTTGTGTCTCTGCCCGGCTTTGGTATCAGAATGATGCTGGCCTCATAAAATGAGTTAGGGAGGATTCCCTCTTTTTCTATTGATTGGAATAGCTTCAGAAGGAATGGTACCAGTTCCTCCTTGTACCTCTGGTAGAATTCGGCTGTGAATCCATCTGGTCCTGGACTCTTTTTGGTTGGTAAACTATTGATTATTGCCACAATTTCAGATCCTGTTATTGGTCTATTCAGAGATTCTACTTCTTCCTGGTTTAGTCTTGGGAGAGTGTATGTGTCGAGGAATTTATCCATTTCTTCTAGATTTTCTAGTTTATTTGTGTAGAGGTGTTTGTAGTATTCTCTGATGGTAGTTTGTATTTCTGTGGGATCGGTGGTGATATCCCCTTTATCATTTTTTATTGCATCTATTTGATTCTTCTCTCTTTTTTTCTTTATTAGTCTTGCTAGCGGTCTATCAATTTTGTTGATTCTTTCAAAAAACCAGCTCCTGGATTCATTGATTTTTTGAAGGGTTTTTGTGCCTCTATTTCCTTCAGTTCTGCTCTGATTTTAGTTATTTCTTGCCTTCTGCTAGCTTTTGAATGTGTTTGCTCTTGCTTTTCTAGTTCTTTTAATTGTGATGTTAGGGTGTCAATTTTGGATCTTTCCTGCTTTCTCTTGTGGGCATTTAGTGCTATAAATTGCCCTCTACACACTGCTTTGAATGCGTCTCAGAGATTCTGGTATGTTGTGTCTTTGTTCTTGTTGGTTTCAAAGAACATCTTTATTTCTGCCTTCATTTCGTTATGTACCCAGTAGTCATTCAGGAGCAGGTTGTTCAGTTTCCATGTAGTTGAGCGGCTTTGAGTGGGATTCTTAATCCTGAGTTCTAGTTTGATTGCACTGTGGTCTGAGAGATAGTTTGTTATAATTTCTGTTCTTTTACATTTGCTGAGGAGAGCTTTACTTCCAACTATGTGGTCAATTTTGGAATAGGTGTGGTGTGGTGCTGAAAAAAATGTATATTCTGTTGAATTGGGGTGGAGAGTTCTGTAGATGTCTGTTAGGTCCACTTGGTACAGAGCTGAGTTCAATTCCTGGGTATCCTTGTTGACTTTCTGTCTCGTTGATCTGTCTAATGTTGACAGTGGGGTGTTAAAGTCTCCCATTATTAATGTGTGGGAGTCTAAGTCTCTTTGTAGGTCACTCAGGACTTGCTTTATGAATCTGGGTGCTCCTGTATTGGGTGCATATATATTTAGGATAGTTAGCTCTTCTTGTTGAATTGATCCCTTTACCATTATGTAATGGCCTTCTTTGTCTCTTTTGATCTTTGTTGGTTTAAAGTCTGTTTTTTCAGAGACTAGGATTGCAACTCCTGCCTTTTTTTGTTTTCCATTTGCTTGGTAGATCTTCCTCCATCCTTTTATTTTGAGCCTATGTGTGTCTCTGCACGTGAGATGGGTTTCCTGAATACAGCACACTGATGGATCTTGACTCTTTATCCAATTTGCCAGTCTGTGTCTTTTAATTGGAGAATTTAGTCCATTGACATTTAAAGTTAATATTTTTATGTGTGAATTTGATCCTGTCATGATGTTAGTTGGTGATTTTGCTCGTTAGTTGATGCAGTTTCTTCCTAGTCTCGATGGTCTTTACATTTTGGCATGATTTTGCAGCGGCTGGTACCAGTTGTTCCTTTCCATGTTTAGCGCTTCCTTCAGGAGCTCTTTTAGGGCAGGCCTGGTGGTGACAAAATTTCTCAGCATTTGCTTGTCTGTAAAGTATTTTATTTCTCCTTCACTTATGAAGCTTAGTTTGGCTGGATATGAAATTCTGGGTTGAGAATTCTTTTCTTTAAGAATGTTGAATATTGGCCCACACTCTCTTCTGGCTTGTAGGGTTTCTGCCGAGAGATCCGCTGTTAGTCTGATGGGCTTCCCTTTGAGGGTAAGTCGACCTTACTTTCTGGCTGCCCTTAACATTTTTTCCTCATTTCAACTTTGGTGAATCTGACAATTATGTGTCTTGGAGTTGCTCTTCTCGAGGAGTATCTTTGTGGCGTTCTCTGTATTTCCTGAATCTGAACGTTGGCCTGCCTTGCTAGATTGGGGAAGTTCTCCTGGATAATATCCTGCAGAGTGTTTTCCAACTTGGTTCCATTCTCCCCATCACTTTCAGGTACACCAATCAGACGTACATTTGGTCTTTTCACATAGTCCCATATTTCCTGGAGGCTTTGCTCATTTCTTTTTATTCTTTTTTCTCTAAACTTCCCTTCTCGCTTCATTTCATTCATTTCATCTTCCATTGCTGATACCCTTTCTTCCAGTTGATCACATCGGCTCCTGAGGCTTCTGCATTCTTCACGTAGTTCTCGAGCCTTGGTTTTCAGCTCCATCAGCTCCTTTAAGCACTTCTCTGTATTGGTTATTCTAGTTATACATTCGTCTAAATTTTTTTCAAAGTTTTCAACTTCTTTGCCTTTGGTTTGAATGTCCTCCCATAGCTCAGAGTAATTTGATCGTCTGAAGCCTTCTTCTCTCAGCTCGTCAAAGTCATTCTCCATCCAGCTTTGTTCCGTTGCTGGTGAGGAACTGCGTTCCTTTGGAGGAGGAGAGACGCTCTGCGTTTTAGAGTTTCCATTTTTTCTGTTCTGTTTTTTCCCCGTCTTTGTGGTTTTATCTACTTTTGGTCTTTGATGATGGTGATGTACAGATGGGTTTTTGGTGTGGATGTCCTTTCTGTTTGTTCATTTTCCTTCTAACAGACAGGACCCTCAGCTGCAGGTCTGTTGGAATACCCTGCCGTGTGAGATGTCAGTGTTTCCCTGCTGGGGGGTGCCTCCCAGTTAGGCTGCTCGGGGGTCAGGGGTCAGGGACCCACTTGAGGAGGCAGTCTGCCGGTTCTCAGATCTCCAACTGCGTGCTGGGAGAACCACTGCTCTCTTCAAAGCTGTCAGACAGGGACATTTAAGTCTGCAGAGGTTACTGCTGTCTTTTTGTTTGTCTGTGCCCTGCCCCCAGTGGTGGAGCCTACAGTGGCAGGCAGGCCTCCTTGAGCTGTGGTGGGCTCCACCCAGTTCGAGCTTCCTGGTTGCTTTGTTTACCTAAGCAAGCCTGGGCAATGGCGGGCGCCCCTCCCCCAGCCTCGCTGCTGCCTTGCAGTTTGATCTCGGACTGCTGTGCTAGCAATGAGTGAGATTCCGTGGGTGTAGGACCCTCTGAGCCAGGTGTGGGATATAGTCTCGTGATGCGCTGTTTTTTAAGCCGGTCTGAAAAGCGCAATATTTGGGTGGGAGTGACCTGATTTCCAGGTGCGTCTGTCACCCCTTTCTTTGACTCGGAAAGGGAACTCCCTGACCCCTTGCGCTTCCCAGGTGAGGCAATGCCTGGCCCTGCTTCAGCTCGCACATGGTGCGCGCACCCACTGGCCTGCGCCCACTGTCTGGCACTCCCTAGTGAGATGAACCCGGTACCTCAGATGGAAATGCAGAAATCACCCGTCTTCTGCGTCGCTCACGCTGGGAGCTGTAGAACCTGCTCCTATTCGGCCATCTTGGCTCCTCCCCTGATTGATAGTTCTTATTTAGATAACAGAAGTTTTAGGTACATTAAAAAGCAAAATGCATATTTTTGCAAAGACTTGGAACAGTGATACGAACAAGCATACTCCACTCTCTGTGGAAACAAAATAAAGTATGACTGGAATGTTTTATTCTATGCTCCAATTACTCACATGAGGATATTCACAGGAAACATGTGGCTTGACTGAAATGCGATTTGAGAGAAAACCAAGAGCCTGGACAAATATTTCTAGTTAGCAGAATCACAAAGGTCTTGGAATGTATCCCTCACTAGCAACCAGAGTCTACTTCACCTTCCAGCCAATGGTTTTCATGCCCCTCTTGCTTCCAGTTATATTACAAGATATTCTGCAATCACCTTGCAGATACTGGTGATAATCAATGCATTACTCTCTCATCATCATTCTTTATAAGTAGAAAAAATGATTATTTTCTTTCTACAGCATTTAATGTATTTAAGTATAATAACCCATATTTGTTTTATTCTTTCCATTTAAAAATTACTTTCAAATTTATGTCATGTGGTCCTTAAATCAATTCCATTAAATACTTATTATTTCAATAAAGTTCAAAAGATTTTGTGATTTTTCGGTGCTCATACAGCTGAGGAAGAGGCTAAAACTGAATCAGCAACCAAGTTTTCAGATACTAAAACTGCCCACTGGTTCTCATAACATGAAGCCTTTCAAACTATTGAAGTGCATTAAATCTTGCATTTTCTATTATGCTTTTGCCAGACCCGAGGTTTCTCAGCTACATTTTGTGCTTAATTGCAATATTTTTCCTGTTTTAGATCTTATTTTGTGTGTGATAAAATACATATTTGTAACTGAGGACATATCCAGAAATAATAAATGATAAAGAAATATAATTTAGCTTTGGAAGAGACCCTTACAAGTCATCTGGTGATTCCTCATCCCTTTACATATGAGAAAACTGAGTTCTAGAAAAATTGAGACTTGCTTGCTTAAGGTTGTTCAATTTGTCAATGGGATTATAGCTGGGATTAACTCTCATGACAACTATCTCAATGTGTTTTCTATTTTGTTACACTGTCTATGGAAATTTAACTGCAAAAACCACCAAATTTGAGAGCTGCAAGGGACCCTAGAGATTGAGCTTTAACTCTCTTGTTTTATGAAGGAGGAAATACAGATCCAGAAAATTAAATTGTTTCTGCAAAGTTATATAGTGAGTGTTAATAGGAAGTTAGCATGGGACTGTGCCTGCCTCAGGTTTCAACTGAGGTACCACAAAAAACTATCAGATAGCAGAGGATGTGCCAGACACCCCCATCCCCATGTGCTGACATTCAAAGAAAATGTCACAAAAACATGGCTCTTGCACCTCTGCCAGGTTAAGTGCATAGAAACATATCAGAGACGGTGGAAAGGAAAAGAGATTGGTAAGGAAATTTCTCTGGAGAAAGCTCTTGATTTGATGTGTGCCTCCAAACTTTAGGGGAAAGTTTGGGGCATGCTAACTTCTAAACATAAGCTTCATGAAGAGGACTTCAAGAGAACCACTTGATAGGCCATACCCATACCTTGGTGATAGTGTCAAAAAAGTGCTGCACTGAGATTGCATAAACATCCAAAGTTGGCACAGAAAATGTCACTATTTGCTGTGGGTCAGATGTGGGCCATGTAAAGTCAAAGAGTCAACGTACGACTTTGGATCCTGTGTCATAAGGCCACCTCATGGGGGCATCAGCAGAAGGAAGAAGATGCAATGTGGAATGCCCAGCAGCTGAAGATGCAGCATTCAGCCATCACTTAGAATAGAGGCTCATTATCCTTTTTTTATGAGATGGGGGATTATCAGAGAACCTCTGCAGAGATCAAAGGGACAAGAAAAACAGTTGAATTTTACCATCCCTCAAGGCCAGCAAGGACAGTCAATTTGGGAGGCACCAGTCAAAGTAAAAGCCATTTAATCATTACAGATCAAGACAATTACAACAAGAGGGAGACAAAACTGAAGTTGCATTTTGTTCTCAGTCCATGGGTCAAAATCTTCAGCATACTTGTTACAGGAGTTTTTCACAGAAGTTCTTCTAGGACTTCCTCCACTGCACTCTGCTGTCTCAAAATAAAAGATCTGAGATTTGAAAGAAGAATCAGTGTATTTGGGTTTTATCTATTTGCTGTTAGCCACAAAAATAAAATATTCTTGTCATCTTGGAGTGCTTTTACAAAAATCTTATTGAATAGTAGGTTTCATCTAATGTTTGTTGAACGAGTGAATGGATGAAATAAAACACTACCATTACTGGGAGGCACATGATAGGGAATCATTAGCTTCAGACAGCAGGAACAGCTGCAGACACTAATGCCAATCAGAAGGGAAGCTAACACCTAGGGCACCAATGGAAGAAAGACAAACACTATGCTGTCTGCCAGGACTGGCCACTAGGCTCATCCTGATTGTTTGGAACACCAGCAGTGAAATGTAAACATGGATTGGTTGAGTTATTTTACTTAGGTCAAGCTATGTACACAATGTGTGCTCACACTTTCTGTTGGGAAAAGAAAACATGGAGGTTGCTGGCCTGTTTTTAAGGCCATGAAACTTGCAATAAATCTTGTTATTTTCATCTCAGAAGGATCAAGAGGGGAAGCAGGAGCCCTGCCTTTTTCCCACACTGGCTGTAACATATGCTCAAAATCATCATCCCTGCCTTGTATCTCCATAACTGGACTTCAGCCACCAGTGGGGCTCCTACCAGAGTTAGTGTACTATTATAGCACTTCCAGGAATCTGAAGGCATAGAGTTTTAAAATGTGTGACTTTTAACAAAGGTGCAAGGGATTCCAGACACTTCTGTCTCATACACTGGATGAAGAACCAGATTATCGATGCAGGCTTTTATTCTTAGGCTAGTATCAATGTCCCGGCAACAGGCAACATTAATGCCACATCCCCAGAGCTATATCATGGTCTCTCAATGGTAAGACTGGGCAAAAATATACAGAAAAGATAGGACAAAGATTTATCAAGAGGGCAACTGACCATATTGAAATTGCACTCAGGACATTAGAAAGGGAAACTTCTTATTTGTAGAGATTAAGCACCAGATGCTTGATGTTATAGCACAAGATCTTCAGTCTCAAAAACAAAGGGGAACTTAAAAAATAGGTTTTTAAGTTGGTGTTTTTAGACTTTGGTAGAAACTCTACAATCACATGGATTGCTTGTGGAAGTAATGTTTGGTTTCTGTCCTTGATTAAATTAGTCTTGTAACATATTTTGGGTATCCTCTTAGCTAATCTAACCTCAGGTAGACAATGATCCTATTTCTCATATTACAGGTCATTTCAGGGTTTTCTGTTTATTTGCCTTTTTTTTTTTTTTTTAATTTTTTTTGATGCGGGCTCTTTCTCTGTCACCAGGCTGGAGTGCAGTAGCGCCATCATGGCTCACTGCAACCAAAACCTCCTGGACTCAAGCATTCCACCTAACTCAGCCTCCCAAAGTGCTGGGATTGTAGGCATGAGTCATTATGCCCCACCCAGTTCAGGTTTCATTATATAAAATCACATAACACCATAAAGCACCTGTAACGAAAAAAATAGAAATCTACAGTGCTGTTTTAAAAATTTCTTTAATGCTTTGTCATGGTAGCTTGCAAAAATGGCCACAATTCTTCACTAGTTCCTGTGTTCATGGTCTTGGCAATGCAGTTTCACAGCATGTGGTTCCCCATTTCCTAAATCTGGTCTGGCCATGTGTCTTTCTTTGGCCAATAGAATGCAGAGTAAGTAAGTCATGTTGTGCCCAGGGCTTGGGATTTTCCTAGGTCTCCTCACTATCTTGGAACTTTATGATCAAAGAGGATGAGAGACATACTATGTGGTCATTTCTATCACCCTGGCCAATAATACACACACTGCACACATCTGCAAAGGCCTTCCTAGATTAGAGCGTGCCTGACCCATTAGCAACTGTAAGAACATAAATGAGGCCAATGGAAATCAGATGACTATCTGCCAGACCCAAAGAACTTTGAATCAAAAAACAAAAAAGATTATTTCTTTAAATCACTAAGTGTCGGATGTCTTACTATGTAGTATAATTAATTGGTACAGCAGGTTGTATTATTTATGGAATTTTTTTTTCTTTTGTTATTCTTACAAGTTCACATGCCATGGCTGGAAAACTCTAAAACTGTCTAAAGACTTACAGTTGGAAGAGACCACAGCCAATGGTAGAAATTATCTCTATAAGCCATTGCTCTGATTCACCGTAACTTTGGTAAACCTCTGCCTCATAAATATTACTATTTTTAGCTGGGCATGGTAGTACAAGCACTCCTGTAATCCCAGCACTTTGGGAGGCCAAGTTAGGACAATAGCTTGAGGCCAGGATTTTGAGACTAGCCTGAGCAACATAGTGAGACCCCATCTCTACAAAAATAAAAGTTAAACAAAACAAAGCAAAACAAAACAAAACAAAACAAAACATTAGCTGGATGCTGTGGCTGGCACTTGTAGTCCTACCTACTTGGGAGGCTGAAGTGGGAGGATCACTTGAGCCTAGAAGTTTGAAGCAGCAATGAGCAATAGTCACACCACTGCACTCCTGTGAGATCCTGTCTCACCACACCCCACCCCGCCCAAAAAGTTGTTGTTTTCATGAACACACAGAGAAAGAAAAAACAAAAAAGTGGAAAAGCATTCTCTGTTCCACTATTTTCCAACTGTAATATCACCATCCATCTGATTTTGGGTCATGAGACTTGAGGGTAGAACCTGTGTCTTATTCAACTTTGTACACTACACAGCCCTTACAGTACAGTATTAACACACAATAGTGGCTCAAATACAATTATCTGAAATTAAATCAAATTGATTTGAACCACTAACCATGATAAGGGAAGACCTAACACTTTCTTCTTCTAGCAGTTGCATTCAGGCTTCACATGTACTACACAGCCTTCTTTTAAAAAATATTTTATTTTATTTTATTGTTATTATTATTATTTTATCATGTACTTGATGATGGGAGAACAGCCTTCTGTACAGTCTTGAAGTACTTAGGACTGCCTAAAAGATTGGGTTAGGACTGTGTAAAATTCATCAGCTGTCATGGAATACTCAACCTAAGTTTAGGAAGATCTCTAAGATCCAAAAGAATTATATCTGCAAGTCATCTAGACAGACCTAAATGAAACTGGGGGTCCTGGATAGGCCTGGACTGAAGAAGAAACCTCCCATCCAGTATTTATTTTCTTAAGCTCTAAATTCATGAACTAAATTTCTTTGGATACAGGCTGTGGCTTGAAAACTTTCTCCTCAGGCCTTATTAAGTGAATTGAATATCCTAGAGAGCAGACAATTTTTCCAGGCTAGCACATTCTATCATACTCTAGTAGAATCATCAATATATTTTTCCAGGAAATTGTCCATCAGCTTCCCTTTGATGAGACAGACCACTGCTTACCTCATTATTTATCCTGCCCCCTGAATACACACACATCAACTGTCCTGAGCACATCCTCTGTTCCCTGCTTTTGTGCATTGCATATCTTATTTTTCCTGCCTGGATTACACTTCTCTTGCATGTTTTTCTGGTGATCACATTTCAACATTTAAAGCTCAACTCAAGCACATCCTCTTTTATAAACCCTTTCCCGTTGCACCCCCCTCCCTGTAGGAAGACATCTCAACATCATCTCTACTTTGTGTGTCTGTGTGTATGTGTGTGTGTGCATATAATGCACACAGTATTTTGTTGTTGTCTTTATGAGGAAGTTTTACCACTAGTTGTTTATTACCAGACTGTTACCTCATCACCTAATTTTTTTATATCCAGCTTACTGACTAGTAATGAATGTCTACTGAAAAAAACCATGTAAACTAATGCTATTGTATTGTCTAACATTCTACTTTTGAGAAGAACAGCTTAGGAAATTGTTCTAAATGTATGATTTTTCTTCTCCAAGTTCTGTGGGTTTATATGAATGTTATTTCATTATGATTTGTTACTTAACATCTCCACAGTGGAAGGACAACTCTCATGAGAGGTAGTATCCTGTAATATCTAAGAGAAATATATTTTCCTTTTTAGCCAGAGGTTTGTGCTTTAAGCTGATAATGAAACAGATGATCATTTACATTGCTGATTCATGCTTTATGTGCTTAGAATCTTTATGAATGGAATGGAATTCTAGATATAAGTAATTATGAGCAATATGCAAGCAATGCATATAGTTCTGCATATGTGTAAAACTAATGAGTAGGTATAAATAATACTTTTTATATGTGGGAAAATGAATTTATTTAAGAGGCACACTGAATCAGGAAGAAATATACCATATGGCTTGTATTAGCAAGTGACTATATCATTTTGACCAGATTTAAATTCTCTTCATTTTGTTTTGTTTTAATGTAAAAAATGAGGACAATAATACATAACTGTTTATTCCTCTAGAGATTATAAATAAAAATAGAAAAATAGAGTAAGCATTTTTATCACTTTAGAAAAATAGCAAGGAACACATATAGGAGATATATATATAGCTATCATAGTGTAAATAATATATTTCAATTTGAAAATGTGTAATGAATTGAATGTACATGATGCCATTAATATTTCAGAATATTTCACAGCCTCTCATAAATATAATTCATATAATATAAAATGTTATTCATTCTCATTTGTTGGCAAACCTGAGGAATGTGCCATATCTTAAATAAAGAATAAATGATATTCCTCCAATATTTTAGCAGTTAGAGCTTGCTCATGAGAAGAAAGAAAATTCTTGTGTCTGAATTATTTATTATTTCATCATTGGTCTGATTTCTTAAACAACACTTCAACTACGTACTGCATTGTTATTTATACTATGTCAGCATAAAGGTTTAGCCAATGGGCAGCACTGGGGGTAAAATTGAGGGTAGGAAGACAGAGAAACTGGGTTATTCTTTCCCTTTTTTCCAGCATCAGGAGGCTGTCATGCAATATCTACATTATCCTTTGGTTCCCTATGGACCAAATTAGCTGCCACCTTCAAAGTTCCAGCTTCCAGTGGAAAATCAATGGTATATGTAATCGCTGTGAGAGCTTTTCTTAATTCACTGGCATTACACAGGAAACAAAACAATTTCGCCTCTTTCAAACAAAGCATGCTCTGCTGCCCTTCAAGCTGGCAAAAACTCTATCTGCAGTTGATGGGGCATATTCTCAGGAAAAATTACTAGACTATTTCTGGCTTTTGCCACATACATAATAATAAATTCCATATAAATCAGTATGATTTCATTTAAACAAAATTTAATTATAATGTCTGCTATGTCATTTGAATTGAAAGAAGAGCGACCTTTAGTTAATTACTAAAATTCCACAAGATCTTGGATATTGGCTTTTAAATATATCCAAAAGACATTCAGAGCCACTAAGACATTTTGAATGTGATGCCTTTCTTCTATCTCCAGTGCTGCTCCTTTCAACAATGGAAAATTTCACAATCCCTGTAGTTTCTCTTTAAAGTTTGGTGGAGATTGAGTGCTCCATTCAGGCACACTTCTTTCACAGAATGGCCTTTTACATACAATGAAAACTTCAGCCTGGAATGGTGGCTCACCCCTGTAATCCCAATACTTCAGGAGGCAGAGGTAGGAGGGTCACTCAAACCAAGGAGTTTGAGACCTGCCTAGGCAACACAGTGAAACTCTACCAAAAATTACTAAAAGTAGCTGGGAATGGTGGCCCGTGCTTGTAGTTCATTTTTATAATTCTTTTTCTTTACTTTTGTCTGATTGGGTTAATTAGAAAGGCTTGCCTTAGAGCTCTGAAATTGTTTCTTCTACCTATTCTAGTCTATTGTTAAAACTTTCCATTGTGACTGGGTGCAGTGGCTCGAGCCTGTAATCCCAGCACTTTGGGAGGCCAAGGAGGGAGGAACACGAGGTCAGGAGATCAAGACCATCCTGGCTAACACGGTGAAACCCCATGTCTACTAAAAATACAAAAAATTAGCTGGGCGTGGTGTCGGGCGCCTGTAGTCCCAGCTACTCAGGAGGCTGAGGCAGGAGAATGGCGTGAATCCGGGAGGAGGAGCTTGCAGTGAGCCCAGATGACGCCACTGCACTCCAGCCTGGGCCACAGAGCGAGACACCGTCTCAAAAAAAAAAAAAAAAAATTCCGTTGCCTTTTGTGATTCCCTAAGTGTGTTTTTCAGTTTCAGAAGTTCTGATTGGCTTTTCTTTAAAATATCTATCTCTTTAGAAAAAGTTTCATATATATCCTGAATTGTTTTAATAATTTCTTTAGGTTGGTTTTTATTTTTCTCTGGTATTGCCTGGAGTAGCTTAATAACCCACCTTTTGACTTTTTTTATCGGGTATTTTAAAGATTTCATTATGGTTTGAGTTCATTGGTGAAGAACTAGTGTCATATCTTGAGGATATTACGGAACCCTGTTTTGTCATTTTACCAGAATTATTTTTTCTACTTTCTTCTTATTTGGGTCTATTTCTTCTAATCATTTTTGAATTTATTTTTGATTTGACTAAGTTTTCTTTTTTGAAGTTTTTTTTTCTTCCTCTTAAGGATGTGACTTTAATGTTTACAATTTACTGTAGCCTAATTTGGCTCTTGGTGCTTTCAGGGGTGAAGACTGCATAAATTCCTTGGTTAAACAAACAGAGTCTTTGTACGATGGCTTTCTCAGATGCTGGTTTTAGTAGCAGTGTGCTCAGTGTGTGAGCAAGTTCACTGTCTTCTATGGGGTTGGAGTGGCAGAGGTCTCTTGAAGCTTATCTCATTCCCCTGTAGTGTTTGTTTGTTTGTTTGTTTGTTTCCCAATATTTTATTTGCTGGGTTGAATAGTTTAGGCTTCAGGCCAGCAAGAGAGGTGTCCTTGGGTAGAAATCAGTGGTGGCTAAAGCAGGTGGGTAAATGCAATACTTAACGGTGGACAGAGGTCTCAGCTTTGACAGAAGTGGCTGGGGGAGGTCTCAGTGAAATGCAGAGGTCTTATCAAGAGGAAGGGTGGAAGCCACCTCAGCTCTCCTGCCAGCCCAGCAGGAATGATCCACTTCCCAGTCATACTCCTGACCCAGTGTTCTGGTTATTCAGATCAGACAGGCACCTCTTTCCATCTCCAGGAATGTTGATGTTTCAAGTAGAGAGGAACTGTGACTCTACCTTTTGTGCAAGCCTGAACTGAAAGGCGCTCCTCTTGTGGAGATGCAGTTACCCTGAAATGTTCCAGAAACACTGCCTATAGGTGCACCCACACTGAACTCTTGTGTTAGAAGCCCCATTTGTGTCTGCAGTGGTGGACAAGCGGGAAAAAGAAGTGCTCTTCTCCAGCACCTGTCAAAAGCACCAAGGCTGCCTGACTGTTGAGACAGAGCTGCAGTCTTTTCCCACGGAGCCCAGCACAGCAACTGGGCTTCTGCTGAAACAAACTTCCCACTAGTGGAAAGATCTGGGACCCAAGGCCTGTCATTTGAATTCTTTTGTTCATCAAGGGGTGTTCCCTTGATGTGGTCACTCCCTTTTCCCCTAAGACTAAGAGTCCCTGAGGGCCAGACTACTGTGAATGCTGTTTGTTCTCCAGTTCTAGCTGCCCAGTGTGGCTGCCACACTTCAGGCTGGTGCTGGGCATTGTCTGTAAGGGATCCAATGATGTCAACTGTCATCAAGGCTCCTGGCAGCAGGGGCCAGCACCAGCTCTGATGGGGGTGGCAGAGGAGTGACATTCATTAGATTAAGATTTCTTGGTTATAAAATAGCCTTGGTGTGTGGGCTTTCTCAAATGCCAGTTGTATAAGTAATCAACAGGTCATGTGGACAGACTCAGGATTTCCAGGTTAGCCAGGGGGGTGCAGTTAATTGTAATAGCTTAGGTCATGTACAAATTTTCTCCGTCCTGGGAACAGAGTTATTCTACCTGCAGATGCTGTAATGGAATGTCAGTTGGCCTCCAGCCAGGAGGTGGCACGTGCAAAAGAGCACCAGCTATGGTAGAGTGGTGGGATTTCTGCTTGCCTTATGTTACCATGCGGAGCTACTCTGGTTTCTCAGGTGATGGGTGGGGCCACAGAGCTCCCAAAAGCTTCTGTCCTTTGTGTTAAGCTACTGGAGGAGGGGATAGGGTAAAGCCATTTAGGGGCTAGGTCAGCAAATCTGTGCTCTGGCTCTCCATGTGTGGGGCAAGCAATGGCCCCTGTGGGGGTTGGGGGACAGTTCTCTGGCCACTGGATAATGTTACAGGGATGAATGTAGTGACCTCTGCTGCACAGAAGAGGTCACACAGGGAGTAGGGATTAGCAGGTGGCAGTTAGATCCAGTCAGTTCCCATGCATTTGGCAAGGCAGACCTCTCATCTGTGCCGTTCCACTAGCAGCAGCTAATTTCCAGGCAGACTATGGTCAGAACCCAAAACTGCCCCAGGCCATAAGTCTCCCCAGCAGGGACAGCAACTGCAGTTTTCAGGCACCATTCTTCGAGCTATCCTACAAAGCCAGGGTGCCCAGCTTTGTGCTTGTGACTGTAGCCCACTTTCCATACAGCCCCTGGTTTCAGCCAAGGGAGTTTGTCCCCCCTGAAGATTACATTGCAAATTTCAGTTGGGAGCTACTTTCAACATGTGACCACTGCCTGAGTTAGTTGGTAGATTTCCACGAGGTCCCCTGTGAGTTATGATTTCCCTCAATCTGTGCTGGAGACTGGAAATGAGTGCCAGGATCTTCCTGCTGCTGCTCCTACTTTTACATTCTCCACCACACCCTGCCACTCCCTAAATCATTTCCAGGGTTGGGTAGGGTTAAGGCCTTGCCCCTTGGCCTACATTGCCAGGTTTTTCAGTGGGAGCACTTCCTGGAGGTAGTCTTTCCTTCTCCCACACTTTGGGGACTTACAGCTTTTTTTGTCAGGCTCATGGTGTAGACTGCAGCCTCCTGGGTTTTTTTTTTTTTTTTTTTTTTTTAAGAATCTGTGGATTATTTCAGTTTTCCAGTTAAGTTTTTGCATGGCTTCTTGGAAAAAAGTTCACAGTGTGAATCTCTACACACTATTTGTCTTTCTAAGTGGGAGAGGCATGCTAACACCACCTCCAATCCACCATCTTGGAAAAAAAAAGAAACATCTGTTTTCTTTCTCCTCCCATTTATTCATTCTAAATCTCTCCAAAGGGTTTACTTAAAATTTTAGAGATAGAGACGCATATGACTTCTATATACAGCTTTTGAAAGAAGAGTAAAATCTTGTTTAATAATAGGGAGATCACTATAAAACTTTGTACTTTAAAGCTTTTTACACATTCTCCATCTAGAAAAAAATACAGGTAGCACCGAGGTCTCTGCAATAAAATGAAGGGAACGCACCAATATTTAGAATCTATTTTGTTTGTCTCAAATTATGAAGCATTTCTCTGCAGTCTTACTTGGTCTTCCAGCATGTTGAATGTTGCTCATGAGGAGAGTGATCTCACTTGTATGTTTGAGAAACCAAGTCATGTTGCTTTTACTGATATCAATAGACAAAGACATGGCAAACAGCATGAGGATTCGATGTAGTTTTGCATCAACTATTGCATAGATCATACAGCTGTTCCCTACTCTTTTTCTCAGGGAAGAAAGTAAAACTTAGCTAGGGAAAGAAAACAAAACAAACAACAACTAGAAGAAACATTGTCGTGTAACAATGGTTTTCCCTGATGACTTTTAAAATACATTTATTTCAAAGGATTTAAAACGACAGCAATGTAATTTTCTTTTTAGAAATACTAAAGGTAGTAATCTAAAACTAGTTTCAAAATGTGGTTCACTGATCTCTCCTTTTCCCCAAGATTATCATATCTTTCTTAGATATATTATTCTAGTTTGATGAATGAGAGCACTGGAATATGTCAATGCTAAAGAGCAGTTCTTATCATAACTAATAGGTCATACTGAGGCAGGATAGAATTATTCCCTCCTGGGCCTGCCTATCCTAAAACTAACCTAGTCATTGAAGTTGATTGAAGTAGTAAGTGAAATATATAAAAACAGCAAGCATCCTACATATTATGCTTTTATTTTATTTACACCTTTAGGAAATGTGCAGGTATTCCTTCCTCCAATGAATTCTTCCCCCAGTACTACATTGAATTTTATAGGGAGATACACTCTTTTTTTTGGTGGGAGGGAGAGTTTGCAATATGAGTTCCTTAAATTTTACTAGTATTAATTTCTGGCTGTTTATAGCAAAAAAAAAATGCTTTAAAAGTATGTACAAGTTACAATCAAATTGATGAAGATTGGCAGCAACAGTTGAATATTAAAAAGTATTTAATAGTAACAATGAGGAATCTGGGATATCACCATGGAGATGGCTTTATCTTCTTTGAGATCAAAGATTTTAGTCTATTGGTTTATTCATAAGAAAGACTTTGCAGGTAAACAGGAGGCAGCATCAATTTGGCTTAACCTTTTGTGTCCATTTCACAGTCTTGGGTTTATGAGCATGGATCATTTTAGCATATGATCTGGTATATAACTACTTTATATGATGGGTATGTATTACATAGTAAAGGAGATGTGATAGTACAATTATATGGTACTGCACCAAAGTCTGTACCAGAAATCATTTTAAGAATGGGAAAATTGAGACTTACGCATCTATAAAAAATAAACGAATGTTCTTAATCTAATGCTACTTACCCAGACTAAAATAGAAATACATATTTCACGTTGAAAACATTAGGATTTTTCTGGGAGGAGCCAAGATGGCCGAATAGGAACACCTCTGGTCTACAGCTCCCAGTGTGAGCCATGCAGAAGACGGTGATTTCTGCATTTCCATCTGAGGTACCGGGTTCATCTCACTAGGGAGTGCCAGACAGTGGGCACAGGTCAGTGGGTGCATGCACCGTGCATGAGCCGAAGCAGGGCGAGGCATTGCCTCACTCGGGAAGCACAAGGGGTCAGGGAGTTCCCTTTCCTAGTCAAAGAAAGGGGTGACGGACGCACCTGGAAAATCGGGTCACTCCCACCCGAATACTGCGCTTTTCCGACAGGCTTGAAAAACGGCGCACCACGAGATTATATCCCGCACCTGGCTCAGAGGGTCCTACGCCCACGGAGTCTCGCTGATTGCTAGCACAGCAGTCTGAGATCAAACTGCAAGGCTGCAGCAAGGCTGGGGGAGGGGCGCCTGCCATTGCCCAGGCTTGCTTAGGTAAACAAAGCAGCAGGGAAGCTCGAACTGGGTGGAGCCCACCACAGCTCAAGGAGGCCTGCCTGCCTTTGTAGGCTCCACCACTGGGGGCAGGGCACAGACAAACAAAAAGACAGCAGTAACCTCTGCAGACTTAAATGTCCCTGTCTGACAGCTTTGAAGAGAGCAGTGGTTCTCCCAGCACGCAGCTGGAGATCTGAGAAGGGGCAGACTGCCTCCTCAAGTGGGTCCTTGACCCCTGACCCCCGAGCAGCCTAACTGGGAGGCACCCCCCAGCAGGGGAACACTGACACCTCACACGGCAGGGTATTCCAACAGATCTGCAGCTGAGGGTCCTGTCTGTTAGAAGGAAAATGAACAAACAGAAAGGACATCCACACCAAAAACCCATCTGTACATCACCATCATCAAAGACCAAAAGTAGATAAAACCACAAAGATGGGGAAAAAAAAGAACAGAAAAACTGGAAGCTCCAAAAAGCATAGCGCCTCTCCTCCTCCAAAGGAACGCAGTTCCTCACCAGCAACAGAACAAAGCTGGATGGAGAAAGACTTTGACAAGCTGAGAGAAGAAGGCTTCAGACGATCAAATTACTCTGAGCTACGGGAGGACATTCAAACCAAAGGCAAAGAAGTTGAAAACTTTGAAAAAAATTTAGACGAATGTATAACTAGAATAACCAATACAGAGAAGTGCTTAAAGGAGCTGATGGAGCTGAAAACCAAGGCTCGAGAACTACGTGAAGAATGCAGAAGCCTCAGGAGCTGATGCGATCAACTGGAAGACAGGGTATCAGCAATGGAAGATGAAATGAATGAAATGAAGCGAGAAGGGAAGTTTAGAGAAAAAAGAATAAAAAGAAATGAGCAAAGCCTCCAAGAAATATGGGACTATGTGAAAAGACCAAATCTACGTCTGATTGGTGTACCTGAAAGTGATGGGGAGAATGGAACCAAGTTGGAAAACACTCTGCAGGATATTATCCAGGAGAACTTCCCCAACCTAGCAAGGCAGGCCAACATTCAGATTCAGGAAATACAGAGAACGCCACAAAGATACTCCTCGAGAAGAGCAACTCCAAGACACATAATAGTCAGATTCACCAAAGTTGAAATGAAGGAAAAAATATTAAGGGAAGCCAGAGAGAAAGGTGGGGTTACTGTCAAAGGGAAGCCCATCAGACTAACAGCAGATCTCTTGGAAGAAACCCTACAAGCCAGAAGAGAGTGGGGGCCAATATTCAACATTCTTAAAGAAAAGAATTTTCAACCCAGAATTTCATATCCAGCCAAACTAAGCTTCAGAAGTGAAGGAGAAATAAAATACTTTACATACAAGCAAATGCTGAGAAATTATGTCACACCAGGCCTGCCCTAAAAGAGCTCCTGAAGGAAGTGCTAAACATGGAAAGGAACAACTGGTACCAGCCACTGCAAAATCATGCCAAAATGTAAAGACCATCAAGACAAGGAAGAAACTGCATAAACTAACGGGCAAAATAATCAGCTAACATCATAATGACAGGATCAAATTCACACATAACAATATTAACTTTAAATGTCAATGGACTAAATGCTCCAATTAAAAGACACAGACTGGCAAATTGGATAAAGAGTCAAGACCCATCAGTGTGCTGTATTCAGGAAACCCATCTCATGTGCAGAGACACACATAGGCTCAAAATAAAAGGATGGAGGAAGATCTACCAAGCAAATGGAAAACAAAAAAAGGCAGGAGTTGCAATCCTAGTCTCTGAAAAAACAGACTTTAAACCAACAAAGATCAAAAGAGACAAAGAAGGCCATTACATAATGGTAAAGGGATCAATTCAACAAGAAGAGCTAACTATCCTAAATATATATGCACCCAATACAGGAGCACCCAGATTCATAAAGCAAGTCCTGAGTGACCTACAAAGAGACTTAGACTCCCACACATTAATAATGGGAGACTTTAACACCCCACTGTCAACATTAGACAGATCAACGAGACAGAAAGTTAACAAGGATACCCAGGAATTGAACTCAGCTCTGCACCAAGTGGACTTAATAGACATCTACAGAACTCTCCACCCCAAATCAACAAAATATACATTTTTTTCAGCACCACACCACACCACACCAATTCCAAAATTGACCACATAGTTGGAAGTAAAGCTCTCCTCAGCAAATGTAAAAGAACAGAAATTATAACAAACTATGTCTCAGACCACAGTGCAATCAAACTAGAACTCAGGATTAAGAATCTCACTGAAAACCGCTCAACTACATGGAAACTGAACAACCTGCCCCTGAATGACTACTGGGTACATAACAAAATGAAGGCAGAAATAAAGATGTTCTTTGAAACCAACGAGAACAAAGACACAACATACTAGAATCTCTGGGATGCATTCAAAGCAGTGTGTAGAGGGCAATTTATAGCACTAAATGCCCACAAGAGAAAGCAGGAAAGATCTAAAATTGACACCCTAACATCACAATTACAAGAACTAGAAAAGCAAGAGCAAACACATTCAAGAGCTAGCAGAAGGCAAGAAATAACTAAAAATCAGAGCAGAAGTGAGGGAAATAGAGACACAAAAAACCCTTCAAAAAATCAATGAATCCAGGAGCTGGTTTTTTGAAAGGATCAACAAAATAGACCGCTAGCAAGACTAATAAAGAAAAAATGAGAGAAGAATCAAATAGACGCAATAAAAAATGATAAAGGGGATATCACCACCAATCCCACAGAAATACAAACTACCATCAGAGAACACTACAAACACCTCTACGCAAATAAACTAGAAAATCTAGAAGAAATGGATAAATTCCTCGACACTACACTCTCCCAAGACTAAACCAGGAAGAAGTTGAATCTCTGAATAGACCAATAACAGGATCTGAAATTGTGGCAATAATCAATAGCTTACCAACCAAAAAGAGTCCAGGACCAGATGGATTCACAGCCGAATTCTACCAGAGGTACAAGGAGGAACTGGTACCATTCCTTCTGAAACTATTCCAATCAATAGAAAAAGAGGGAATCCTCCCTAACTCATTTTATGAGGCCAGCATCATTCTGATACCAAAGCCGGGCAGAGACACAACCAAAAAAGAGAATTTTAGACCAATATCCTTGATGAACATTGATGCAAAAATCCTCAATAAAATACGGGCAAAACGAATCTAGCAGCACATCAAAAAGCTTATCCACCATGATCAAGTGGGCTTCATCCCTGGGATGCATGGCTGGTTCAATATACGCAAATCAATAAGTGTAATCCAGCATATAAACAGTACCAAAGACAAAAACCACATGATTATCTCAATAGATGCAGAAAAGGCCTTTGACAAAATTCAACAACCCTTCATGCTAAAAACTCTCAATAAATTAGGTATTGATGGGACATATTTCAAAATAATAAGAGCTATCTATGACAAACCCACAGCCAATATCATACTGAATGGGCAAAAACTGCAAGCATTCCCTTTGAAAACTGGCACAAGACAGGGATGCCCTCTCTCACCACTCTTATTCAACATAGTGTTGGACGTTCTAGCCAGGGCAATTAGGCAGGAGAAGGAAACAAAGGGTATTCAATTAGGAAAAGAGGAAGTCAAATTGTCCCTGTTTGCAGATGATATGATTGTATATCTAGAAAACCCCATTGTCTCAGCCCAAAATCTCCTTAAGCTGATAAGCAACTTCAGCAAAGTCTCAGGAAACAAAATCAATGTACAAAAATCACAAGCATTCTTATACACCAACAACAGACAAACAGAGAGCCAAATCATGAGTGAACTCCCATTCACAATTGCTTCAAAGAGAATAAAATACCTAGGAATCCAACTTACAAGGGATGTGAAGGACCTCCTCAAGGAGAACTACAAATCACTGCTCAAGGAAATAAAAGAGGATACAAACAAATGGAAGAACATTCCATGCTCATGGGTAGGAAGAATCAATATCATGAAAATGGCCATACTGCCCAAGGTAATTTACAGATTCAATGCCATCCCCATCAAGCTACCAATGCTTTTCTTCACAGAATTGGAAAAAAACTACTTTAAAGTTCATATGGAACCAAAAAGGAGCCCACATCACCAAGTCAATCCTAAGCCAAAAGAACAAAGCTGGAGGCATCACACTACCTGACTTCAAACTATACTACAAGGCTACAGTAACCAAAACAGCATGGTACTGGTACCAAAACAGAGATATAGATCAATGGAACAGAACAGAGCCCTCAGAAATAACGCCACATATCTACAACTATCTGATCTTTGACAAACCTGAGAAAAACAAGCAATGGGGAAAGGATTCCCTATTTAATAAATGGTGCTGGGTAAACTGGCTAGCCATATGTAGAAAGCTGAAACTTGATCCCTTCCTTACACCTTATACAAAAATCAATTCAAGATGGATTAAAGACTTAAACGTTAGACCTAAAACCATAAAAACCCTAGAAGAAAACCTAGGCATTACCATTCAGGACATAGGCATGGGCAAGGACTTCATGTCAAAAACACCAAAAGCAATGGCAACAAAAGCCAAAATTGACAAATGGGATCTAATTAAACTAAAGACCTTCTGCACAGCAAAAGAAACTACCATCAGAGTGAACAGGCAACCTACAACATGGGAGAAAATTTTTGCAACCTACTCATCTGACAAAGGGCTAATATCCAGAATCTACAATGAACTCAAACAAATTTACAAGAAAAAAACAAACAACCCCATCAAAAAGTGGGTGAAGGATATGAACAGACACTTCTCAAAAGAAGACATTTATGCAGCCGAAAAACACATGAAAAAGTGCTCACCATCACTGGCCATCAGAGAAATGCAAATCCAAACCACAATGAGATACCATCTCACACCAGTTAGAATGGCAATCATTAAAAAGTCAGGAAACAACAGGTGCTGGAGAGGATGTGGATAAATAGGAACACTTTTACACTGTTGGTGGGACTGTTAACTAGTTCAACCATTGTGAAAGTCAGTGTGGCGATTCCTCAGGGATGTAGAACTAGAAATACCATTTGACCCAGCCATCCCATTACTGGATATATACCCAAAGGACTATAAATCATGCTGGTATAAAGACACATGCACATGTATGTTTTTTGCAGCATTATTCACAATAGCAAAAACTTGGAACCAACCCAAATGTCCAACAATGATAGACTGGATTAAGAAAATGTGGCACATATACACCATGGAATATTATGCAGCCATAAGAAATGATGAGTTCATGTCCTTTGTAGGGACATGGATGAAATTGGAAACCATCATTCTCAGTAAACTATCTCAAGAACAAAAAACCAAACACCGCATATTCTCACTCATAGGTGGGAATTGAATAATGAGATCACATGGACACAGGAAGGGGAACATCACACTCTGGGGACTGTGGTGGGGTGGGGGGAGGGGGGAGGGGGGAGGGATAGCTTTGGGAGATATACCTAATGCTAGATGACGAGTTAATGGGTGCAGCGCACCAGCATGGCACATATATACGTATGTAACTAACCTGTACAATGTGCACATGTACCCTAAAAATTAAAGTATAATAATAATAGAAAAATAAAATAAAATAAAATAAAAAAGAAAACATTAGGAATACAGTTTTTAAATAATATTTCTTGTAGATCTTTTAAACTAGGAGGAGTCTTTAGACTTTTGATATTGTCATCAAAATCATAGTAATGCAACCAAAATTTAATGTTGAAATCTAAAAGAACATAAACAATTATATTTTTCATTTAATAATCAAAGTCTTACAATTACATTTAGAAGCAAAAGATTATGTAAACTCATGATATTATCAGTTTTCCAAATATCATTAAGGAGCTTTAGTAAATAAATTATTAAAATTAGCATGAAAATTTAGTTTAAAATCACATTTTATTATTTGTGAATCACTATTTTGATACACAGCACAAAATAATTATGTATTGACATATTTTACTATAAAAATAATGCTTTTTTCATATCTTCCAGACATTACATCTACCATCCATCGCTGTCAACTTACTGTATTATCACAACTAATTGCTATGTTGCCACTTTCTTGTTAATTCATTTTGAAATCTATACTCATTCCAGAGACTAAATGTCCGCTGATGTTGCTGGCTGGAAGAAATGTTTCAGATTCTGCCTTATAGTAGTATTGGACTGTGTTTTGCAAATAAAATAGACTTGCCTCATTTTAATCACCAAGAGCTACTCTTTCCAATTTTGTAACCATTAGCCATGTGTGTCGGTTTACATTTAAGTTTAATTAAAATAAAATCAAGATTTTATTTCCTCTGTCCTACTAGCTACATTTCAGGGGCTCAATAGCCACATGTAGTTATTGACTACCATACTGGATAATAAAAAATGTGTCCATTATTGCAGAAAGTTCTACTGCAAAGTTCTATTGCAGAGCACTATAAAGTGTGTCTATTGGCAAGCTCTTTTGGACATGCCTAGTAGAACTTTGTCCTATTTTTATAAGTAGAAAAGTATAACACTTTCATAAACAGAAATTTTTTTTCTGCATAGAAACCCTTTAACAAACCTAGAAGTCCCAAATATGAAAGATACAGCAATAAACTAGAATGACATAATGTTGGGAGAACAAATAAAATTTTCTTTCTTTATCTTTCTGACTTTCCAGTATTTTTCCTCTCTCCTATATCCACAACTGTTTGATAACCCAGCCTTATGTTATTTGGCCATTTACCGTTTTCAGCAATTTTTTTTTTTTTTTTTTGAGGTGGGGTTTTTCTATGTTGCCCAGGCTTGAGTGCAGTGACTACTCACAGGTGTGGTCACATTATATTCATTATACTACTCAGACTCCTGGACTCAAGTGATACTCTTGCATCTCTTTCCAGAGTAGTTGGGACCACAGGAACACACCACTGTGCTTGGCTCAGAATTCTTTTAAATTCATCATTTAAGCTGCATCTCCTTTGTGGACAACACTGACTTCCATCCAACAAAAAAACAAAGTTTATACCCTATCTGATCCTGGCTTTCTGATGACATATACAGAGTCTATGCTTATTTTTTATTTTTTAATTAACTCAAATTATTATGTAACACTGTGTTTCAGAAAATGTATTGGACATTGAGAAAACTGCTGAGCAAAATAGAAAATCTTGCTTTTTATAATTTAGATTATATTGTGTATATGTGAATGTGTGAATGTTGGAGGAATGTGGAGCTCACATTTAAGTGGGGTAAATACTGACTTGCAGATTTCTTTCTGTACTACAGCCATAAATTATACAATCAAAAGTTCTTAATGATGCAAATTTATATTATATCTGTAATTTACATAAAAGACAACATAGTAAATCTTATAAAAATGGAAAAAAGAAGCATATAAGTTCATAATAAGCATGTATTTCTTTAATCAAATGTACATTTATTTTCCATTATATATACATAAAAAAATAAATTTAAATTCAAGGGAAAATAAGACAGAAGAGAAAGCATATATACATTTATTTATACATATGCACTTATGTATTTTTGTGTATGTATATTTTTTTAACATATCTTTTTCTCTCAAGGATACAAAACTGGTCAGTGTAGTTTGTTTAATTAACCTTAAAGGTTTTAAAATTAAAATATTATAAATTCACCGCCAAAGGATTCTAATAAATGTAATTACTTTATTCTTTTATTCAACACCTTTATTGAGCATTTAATCACCATGTATTATTACAGATAAATATTAAGGACTAGTTTTGTCATTTGGGGTTCACCAATAACCTCCACACAGGTCTAAAATTATTTAAATTAAGTAACGTAAAGAATTAGAAGAAAGATTAGCAAAAAACATATTTCTGCTTTGGTTTGCTTCTTCACAATTTTATCTATGAAATAATAAAATATCTTAAGTTATCCTTTTTCTAACGAAATCGGGCCAGATTTCAGCTTTCTGTTATCATGCACACTTACCTGTTAAAGCTCTTCAGCCTAAGTTTTAAAAATCTTACTTGAAAATGACACAGGCATTTAATGAGTGTCTATTATTTAATTTAACATAACTTCAAGATTTCAAATTACATGAAAATTTTATTATAAATGTTTATTCCATTTAAATTGACTGAATTTGTTTAATTTTAACAATCACCCTTAGATTACTTATGAAAACTGATATATTAGAGCTAACTAGTCATCATTTCAAGTTATTTCTCTGTTAACCATTTTTATAGACTATAAATATCAGGTGTTCACTTAAGTTAAGAACCTTGAAGTTAAACATATGGGTATTTTACCAATAACTCAGAAGATAGGTTGTTTTTATTAAATCAATACTAAATCAAAGTGTTACATGAACAAAGATTGTTCTCTTTTTAAGTTGGGTTCACAGTTTTACAACTTTAAAAAGTTTAGCAGAGACAAATATAAAACTGTTCCATCATTAACTCCAGACAAAAATATATGCTGACAATTTGTAAACATTTCTATTTTTATTTTACCAATACTTTAAAAACAAGCTATTTCTTTTTTTTTTTTTTTTTTTTTTTTTTTTTGAGACGGAGTCTCACTCTGTCGCCCAGGCCGGACTGCGGACTGCAGTGGCGGGATCTCGGCTCACTGCAAGCTCCGCTTCCCGGGTTCACGCCATTCTCCTGCCTCAGCCTCCCGAGTAGCTGGGACTACAGGCGCCCGCCACCGCGCCCGGCTAATTTTTTGTATTTTTAGTAGAGACGGGGTTTCACCTTGTTAGCCAGGATGGTCTCGATCTCCTGACCTCATGATCCACCCGCCTCGGCCTCCCAAAGTGCTGGGATTACAGGCGTGAGCCACCGCGCCCGGCCAAAAACAAGCTATTTCTTAAAGGTTTACTTAAGTCATGTGAAGTACAAGATAATTGGGAGAATTACTATATAATTTACATTAGCACTAATTAAGCCAGTCTGAATAGAACTTTTTAAGGGATTTCTGGCCAACTATGCCAAAATTTACTATATAGACAAATCATACAACATAACATATGTACTTATGTGTCAACACATCCAACATATATACACACACAAAGATCTTATTGCTTTAATTTAGGACTTCAGTAATGAGATAGATAGTAATAAAAACTCAGTTTATAAAAGAGTATTGAATCTAAATTATATTTCTGGCTAAAAGAGACATGTTTATATGGCTCAACTTTATTTTCTCTGATATGTCATCTAATGAAAGCTCTGGATTAAAATTTTGGGTAAAACAGTTTGGTTTAAAAAAATTTCTTTCATCAGGTCATGGTGGTTCATGCCTATAATCCAGCACTTTGGGAGGCCAAGTTAGGTAGATCACTTGAGCCCAGAAGTTAGATACCAGCCTGGAAAATATGGTGAGATCCTGCTTCTGCAAAAAATAAAAAGTTAGCTGGGCATGGTGATGTGCATCTGTAGTCCCATCTACTCAACAAGCTGAGGTGGGAGGATCACTTGAGTCTGGGAGGCTGAAGCTGTAGTGAGTCATGATGGTTCCACTGCATTTCACCCTGCGTGACAGAGCAAGACCCTGTCTCAAAAAACAGAGAACAACAACAACAAAAAAAACCTCTTTCACTTTTTCTGTCCTTTTTCTTTCAGTTTCAGATGAATTTAGAGTTAAAATTTCAATGTTTACATTTTAGGTAGGAGTGGCTGAATTATATAAAAAAAACAAAATATCGAAGTAGCCTTAATAATACATCTATCTATATAAATCTATCTTTTGTCAGTTTGGTTTGCTTGACTAGTCAACATGGGCAAGGAAGCACTGTAGCAGGTTTTTAGGGTTTTTCCCCCTAAAAATCCTGCAGACAAAGCAATTTTTACGTTGGACAGGGATACCTTATATTATTGCTCTGAGTCCAAGATTTTGACCTGTTTGGTCTGAGAGCCTAACTCTTATAAACATTTATTCAGTTCTTTTTAGACTATTAATCCTTTAATTAACTCACTCTAATTAATTGTTAGTCTAGCAAACTTAAATTTACATCAAAAGGGATGACTCCTAGGCCTAAGTTATTGGCTACCATGGAGCTGTTGTCATTTATAAAGCCATTAATTTGAAAGCCTTTTAAGCCTTTAAAAAAAAAAAAAAAAAAAAAAAAAAAAAACCTTGGTTGGAATGCCATTAGCAGTGAGTTTTATCTCAACACCTCCAGAAAAGTCAGCTGATTAAACTTAGGCAGAAAAAAATAGAGAGATAGAGAACTTATAAGACTCTACATGTTAACTGTACAGTTGTACTTTCCTAATTTGATACTAAGAAAAAACAAGCTTGGGAAACTCAAATGATCCCTGTGATGGCCATTGATCCAAAATGTACATGAAGGAAAAGCTTTGTAGCAAGCTGGAGTCTCAGAAAACCTGGTATGCCTTAATGTTTGAGAATCTCATTTCATTTTTTATTGATCTCCTAAAAGCAAAGAAAATCCTACAAATCCTGTCAGACTGTCAGGAGCTTGGGCTGGTGTTTTAAATGGTGATGACTGTCTTAATGTCTTTTAGCTGCACCTACCATTTAAAATGCTTATTTTTGCTCTCAGAAGAGTTTCAGAAACAAACAAGGGAAAAAAGCCAAATCCTGTATAGGCATGTGCTACCAAATCAAAATCAGAATGCCATAATTTTTACCCAGGCATGCAGAACAAAGAAAATATTAAATTAGGCATGCAGAAAGAACCAAAAGTAAATTCACCAAAAAAGACATTCATCAGAGAGAGAATGTAATTCTGTAGTAACCAGAGTATTAAAGTTATAAGGACACTTGTTTTTATACAAGAAAGGACTTGCCAGAAAAGTCAAAAAGTATTTTATCATCCAGGTGGAAGGAAACTGATAGTGGCAGGAGACAGACAAAATCCCTATGCAGAGAAGGACAGGTCCCCAGTAAAACCACACCTTCAAGCCAAAAACAGCCCAAAGCTTGAAAACTAGGCTGCTGGTTCAGGATGAAGCCTGTGATCCAGAGTGAGAAGTTCTATTCCTGTTTGCTTGCTCTGTCCTGATTGGTTCTTTCTGAATAATGCTTTTTAACCAATTGAATATTGCCTTTTTCAATGCTACCTATGGCTTGGAACACCCCATTTTGTGTCTATAAAAACCCCAGACTCAGCCACACTTTGAAATACTACCCAACTTTAGGCAGGGGGCTGCCCAACTCAGGTCCCCCTCTTTGCTGACAGTTGTTTCATCATTCAATAAAACTCTTTGCCTTGCTTACCAGCCAGCTGTCAGCATAACCTCATTCTTCTTGGATGTGGGACAAGAACTCGGGACCCTCCAAATGGTGAGTGTGAACAGAGCTGTAACCCTGTAGCACTCCCTTCCTGCTCACCAAGAATGGGAGAGGGAGCTGCTGGGTGCCACACACCCCCATGTGTCAGGCTGTGGACAGTGGGACTGAAAGAGCTGTTAACACACTGTAACACCTCCTTTGGGGCTCTGGGGTCGCTGATGTCTCCAAGTTTTTTGGATGCTACTTTGTTCCCCTTATCTAGATGCCAGCGTCCAAGGCAGAAGCAGGTTGCAGCTTACCCCACCAAGCCACGGGCTGAGCGTGGATCCTATGCTGAGTGAAGGATCTGGGCTGGAGCACAGACCAAGTGCAGCCTGTCAGGCTGAGTGAGCAGGGTACTTTCTGTGGCAAGCCTGGAACTGAGTGAGGCCCTGGGCAGGGGTGTCACCAGTAGTGTAGGTCTCTGGCTGGTGAAGCGGCACCAAAAATATCCTGCCACACAAGGTTCTTTATTAAGTTTGCCTTACAACTAAAACAAATCTCAAAGTTAAAAAAAGCCTCTACCAAAAAATAAGGAGGCTCAGCCTGAAAGAAGACTCACCAGGGCAGAAGAGGTGAAATGTGGAAACAGAGAGCTCAAAGAGCTCAAGAGAATATTGCACATCAGTTCTAAAAATCGCTGATTCCTTCCCAGAGTGATTTGTTTCACATCATTCTCTGGGCACCATTTATGTCAACCTAAATAACAATAGAGAGAAGCTCTTTAGAAGAAAATTGTGTTTATTCAGGAATAGGTTATTGCAATGGGAATACACATCCCATAGTAAACTGTGTTTTCAGAGAAGTAAAGGAAGACAAGGTTTTAAAGAAAAAAATGAGGCTTATGTAAATATTTTGAGTACAATTATCTTTGGCTAAAAGGAATCAATAGCAAGGATGGCACCAGCCTGGGGTTAGACAAGCATTTGTTGGGCACATGTTCTCACAGAAGTAATTTTTGTGTAAGGTTATAATGGCCTTTGTGCATGATTTTGGTTTTTGCAGTCTTTTGTGATAATTCTTGTAGTCAAGCATTTGTTCATGAGAGCCCTCTCTTTATAGTCTTCCAAGCTCTATTAGTCAGGGTTATTTATTACTATTATTATTTTTTAATACAAATGACTCTATTTTAATTCTGACAGTTTTCACAGACTTTGTGTTTATTTGAATTCTTACAGCAATTGAGGATGATTGTTTTAGTTGCCACCTCCTCAGTCATTACTAGATTTTTTTTTTGTTATATTTTATTTAGATTGTGAAACCACCCTTTCTTCTCACTCCCATATTTAATGTCATCTTTTAGGCTCCAATCAATTGCTGAATTATGGTAGGAATATTTTCCTCATATACAATTTCTTCTTTCCCCCTAGCATTTTATTTAATATTAAAATCATCATATAGTTTTTCTCCTTTAGTTTTTAGTGTGATTAGTTACATTGACTCATTTTGAAAATTAAACTATTCTTGCTTTCTTGTGCCAAACCTCACTTGATTTGGGTGAATTTTCTTTCTTATGAATTTTTGAATTTGCTTTCCTGGTATTTTTCTAAGCATTTTTTTTCTCTATTTCTTTATGGCTATTGTCTCTCTTTTTCCTTTACTGTCCTTGTCAGATTGTTTGCCTCATAAAACAAGTTAGGAAGTATTACTTCCTTTTAGATTTTCCAAAAAAAGTTCAGAATTTGTATTATTTCTTCATTACACGTCTGGTAGAATAGACTAGTGAAACTATTTGTTGCTGAATTTTTCTTTCAGGGAAGATTTTACATTGTTTATGGTAAGTTGCTATCTCAAAGGATTTGCTGAATTCTTTGACATAAAAATGTAAATTTATTGGCATAAAAATTTTCATAATATTCCCTTATCCTTTTATTGTCTTTAAGGTTTGTGATAATGACACCTCTATTAACTTGATAATGGCAATTTGTGTTTTTTTTTCTTTCTTTTGGTTAATCTGCCTAGATGTTTATAAATTTAATCTTTTCAAACAACCACCTTTTGATTTGTTGGTTTTTCTCTCTATTTTCACTTTTATTGTTTTTCCCTGTTATTTTTATTTATTACCATTGTGTTACTTTAATCTCTTTTAAACTAGCCGCTTAAGATGGAAGCCTAAGACATTGATTTTAAACCTTTTTTCTTTTCTAATATAGAATTTTAAGGTATAATTTTTTTCTCTATGTCCTACTTTAGTGGCCTTTCATCATTTTTGATATGTTGCATTTGTATTATCACTCAATGCAAAATCTAATTTCTGTTGTGATTTCTTCTTTGACTTTTGGCTTTAGAAATGTGTTGCATATTTCCAAATATTTGAAGATTCTATTGTTATCAAAGTCTGATTTAATTGTATTGTTTCTTTGTATTTCAATACTATATATATATAATAGTGTATAATTTGCAATATCTAGTATATATATACATATATATGTATGTACTATATATGTATATATGTACTATATATGTATATATGTATATATGTATGTGTATGTGTGTATATATATATACTAGATATTGTAAATTATACACTGGAGAGTTTTTTTTTTTAATTTCACCCTTGATATAGGATCCCTCCAGGAAATTATTGGCTAAATATTTGTGGAGGCAGCCAGTCAGGAACATAATCTAGTATTCATTACAGGCTCCCTTAAAAAAGACATATTTTTGCCTCGGGTTTACTCAGCTCATCTATGCCCTCGGTTTTATTTTATTCTGGTACCCCTCACCTAACTTTATTAATCTAAGACTCTTCTCCCATAATCCCAGAGTGGATCTATTGAAGCTCTTTCCTTTGACGTACAATTTCAGATAAAATTCAAGGAGTAAGTCTCTCTTTTTTATATGGCTATACATACGTGTGTTTGTGGGGGGGGGGGTGTGTATCCAGTCTTACAACTTATTTAACATTCCCTAAGTCATAGTCTATTATTTCTTTTCCATGCATGAATTGGACACAGATGACTCCTAAAATTAGCAATATTTTTTTTCTTAATATTTCCTGCATATTCTAGGCAGAATTTGTATTTCTCTAAAGCCAGATATAATTTCCCATCAACCAAACCTTCAACCATACTCTTCTCACAAATCCTGTTGAAACCTGGTTTACAAAATGCAGCTAGCTTTATGTGTACTATTAGGTAGTAGCCATACCTGAAAGTACTGCTTTGACTTTCTTACTGAATCCTAGATGCCCACAAGAACTTACTGAACAAAGAACTAGAGGATTTTCTATAGTTAATGAAACTTTTCTAGAAATTCTGAAAAAGAATTCTCTGGTTAGGATTGGAGCCATAAAAAGGGGAAGCATCATATTTATTTGTCCTTATCACAGAGATGTATTCAACTAAACCATTTTTAGATTTATTGAATAATGTAGTTTTATGTATTTTTTGCTTGATATGATTATTTTTAGCATTCGTCTGACCACTTTAAAATTGGTGTAGTTTTTACCATACTGTAAGTATTTTTAATCACTCTTATACACTTGAAATCTTTTCTGGAACAAGATAGCTATATAAATAAATACATTTACTTAACCTCTCTCAGCTTCAGTCACATTCCCTATGTAATAGGGAGAATAATTTCTATTTTACATGACTTCTATGAAGATTAAATGAGAAAACATACGTAAAAACATCTAGTAAAGTGTTCAGGCCATAGTAGCTATTTAATACATATCGGCTTTCTTCCCTGCTCCATTTAATTTTTTCTTCTGGTCATATATATGGGTTCTAGTAATATTTCTACTCTCCATATTGGTAGACTAAATGATGCTAAGGAAAGTTTTAATACCTAAAGTCTATGATTTTAAACTAGTTTCATTTATTTAATTATTTTTGTCCTAAGCCCTTAAAAATACAATGTCATTTTTCTTTCTAAGAAGTTCTTTTACTTTACTCAGAAATACTTAATGGAAAACGCTTAGGGAAGTTGATTTTTATATAAATTTACAAATTTAATGTTTTATTCTTTTGCTGCCATTTTCCAACTTGTCAAACACATCTGTTTTGCTTTTGCCTCAGTGAGTTCTCTGCAGGAGTCTACTTTTTGACATGATTATCCCAGCAATATCATTTTCAGCTTCTACATTGGCAGCTACCTCCTGAAATGCTTTAAGATATTTTACAGATTTCTCTCTTAGTGACCCTTGAGAGCTAGTTTTTTTGGGGGGGCAGGGTAAGAATCTTGAATTATCTGCTTGAATGTCTTTATAATCTCCATGTTTGGTCTCGTCCTTAAATGAATAATGTGTATTCCGTGGTTCCTGTCTGAAAGAAGGTACAAACTGCCATCTCCCTTCAGGAGAGAACTCTGAGGATTCCAAACTCTTGGAAGTTTAGCTGCTGATACCACTAAGCTCTAATGCATCAGCTAATATGTTTTAGCCTTGGTGTGTCTTTTAGACAGTGATAAAATGTCAGTTTCCCTTTGGGTTTGAGAATTTGCACAAGAGAATGCAATCTCTCTCCACTGAGAGGTTTTCCTCCAGAAACCAAGAATTTCTGACTCGCAGTTGTTTTACCACCTGCAAATGTCACCTTTCCTATCAATTATTATCCTAGGTGACACATGACATCTCCATCTTCAGAACAACTTCACCACATTTTCTCCTCCATCAATATAATGCCATTCAGAGTGGCAGTCATTCACTTTGATAATCCTACTGAATTATAAGTTTCCTATAGCCTGTGACTTTTTCTTTGAACCCAACCTTTCCCCTGTCAGAATCAACAATATTGTCTTCTGTGTTCTTCAAGTATATTACACACACTTTAGTTTCCTTAAAATGAAAGTGATCTAATGCTTATCTTTAGCTTCTGCCATAGTTAAAATTCTCATCATGACATAACTGGATATAACTACTTCCTAACTTTTTTCTTCTGCCTCCTAGCTCTCCCCTTCACCAATTCATCCTCTCCACTGGCACCAATCCACCTTTTCAATATGTATAGCTAATTATGTTATTTCCTTTAAAAAAATCCTTAAGTAGATCCTTTTTACTTTGTTACTGTATCCACATTGATAAATGATTTGCTTCTTGATGTGCCATAAAGTATGTTTGCAATCTGGCTCTTACATACCCTTTGGACTTTGTCTTCTGTCACTTCCAAAAATGTATAGTTCAGTCATCGTTTAAAATCATAATGCTCTTCTGTGTTCTCCGGCTTTACTTATTGTGCTGCCTCTCTCTGGAGTGCCACATTTTTGCAATCTCCCAATTCTACCTTTATGGTCAGTTCAAATGCTAATCCTCGTAACACCTCATCCACATCCATCTTCCCTTTAATAAATTCCCTTTACTGTTGATGTAGGATTTTTCTTCTTGGTCACTTTGTAAGCCAGGGACCCCTGGCCACAACACCCCACCAGGACCTCAGTTGGTCACGCTGGCGTGCCCCAGCTCACCTGTGTTATAGTTTGAACCTGCATTTGGCAGTTCCTAAGCTCTTATATTGCACCCAAGAAGAATGAGGATACAGGGGACATTGAAGGATGAGGAGGCAGAGAAGAATTTTATTGAGTGATGAAAACAGCTTTCAGCAGAGAGAGGATGTGGAGTTGGTTTCCCTACCCAAAGGCAGGAAAGTCACCCATGTGGTTGGGTTCTGGGGCCTTTTATGAACTTAGAATGGGGAGTGCATGCTGATTGGTATGTGAGTATGCAAAAAAAGTTTAAGACAAAGACACCACTCAAAGGTGGGCATGACAATGTAGAAAACCAATTAGGAAAGGGTAGGTATGTGTAAAATAGGTGAAGGATGAGGACCAATCAGAGGAAAACACTCCAAACAGGAAGACAAGCTCTTAAGCCTGTCTGAGGATTTAACTTGTGGCTTGGCTTTCAGGCTTTAAACTGCCTTCAGCTTGGAGGTGGGGTTTCACTGGGACCCGTCCCTATCTAACCAGACATTTGGTTGCCTCCTGCCACTCTCATTGTTTCTGAAGCTCTTTTTACACTGTCTATTAACAAGCTGCACAACAACTTGCATTTATATTTCTCTCTAAATTAGGGAAAGTGACTTGAAATAACTTTTAAAAGATAACGTGTTTTTGTCACTAATGCATAGCACAAATTCGACTACACAGCAAATATTTGCTGAATCAATGACTGGAAAAGAGACCATGCAATAAAAAAGTGTGATATATTAGTTTGCAAAGCTACAATATATTTTAGAAACAGATTAAAAACAGAGCAAAATGGGTATCTGGGAAGAAAAAGGGTGAAAAATAGAAGCAACCTATAAAAGCAAAATCTGGAGAGAAGTACTATGTGGGAACTTAGGAAGAATAAAAAAAGGAACAAAAATAAGGAAAAGTTTCAGTTTTGTATGGATGTGTCTAATGAGCCCTGTGGCCTAAGATTTTAAGGCTTGTTCTATCTCACTGTGTCTATTTCCTTAGGGAAAATTAAATTCATTTAGCCAGATAGCTGCTTTGCTGAGACTCTTCTGGCATTCTTATTAATGTAAAATACATCAAGGAATCAATGAAGGTGTAGGTTTACTCTACTAGTATCATGTTTGAGTTGGCTAAGGGTCAGAACATTAAAACAATCTGCTACTTATGAGTCTGCTCTATGAAAAAGGGCAAATCATGCAAAGAGGGGGGAAAAATAGTGTTAACAGATGTTACTGATGGCTTAAAAGAGAGTGGAGAAACGAAGGCAGAAAGGAGCAAAATAGCACACATTGTGGTAGAAAAACTATCAAACATGGAGTCAGAAGCGCTGGGTTATATCCAGACTTTGCCAGTATTTATTTAGGATACCTTGGGCAAATAATTTAATCTCTTCCGTTATCATCAGTAAAACTAAGACGTTAATACTAACTTATACGGTGATTATAATTATTAAACTATGTTATGCGTGTAAAAGTAATCTGCAAATTTTAGCATACTATATCAATATAAATACTTTTTCCACAACTCTGCCCTCTATAACTCTTTCTTTTTGAAATGTTAAAAAGAACACACTTTAAGTGTATAAAGATAAAAAATAAAAATATCGCTATCACTGTGGCTTTAGAAGTTTAAAAGACAGCAAGCTATTTTATTCACAATGTAAAATAAAATGAGTAAAGGCTTAGGCTTTCCCTCTAGTTTAGGAATTACTTTAATTTCTCTTTGGTCTCATGCTTTCCCACAGGCAATTTAGAATGTCACATACACTTAGAGTAGACACGTCATACAGTGAAATTGTGCAAAATGTTTATGACAATCCTCATCTGAGACATAAACACTTCTTGTTTCCTGCTCGTGTTTTCAATAAAACCATATTATTTCAAGCAAAATTACTTGGAATATGACTAACCACATGCTCTGTGAGACAACATATAATAGAGGCGCTTCCTTGAAAAAGAAAAGCATGAAAGAGAGAGAAAATGCATCCTGTGAGCCTCTTTATTTAACTGACTATCTTTGGGATAGAGCTAAGTAAGTTACTGTTGAGCTCAGCTTTACCAATTCTTATGATCTCTCTGAAGCTCTCTTTGCAACCAGGTCTTCCCGCTTTCTTCTCTTTATTTCCATTTAAGATGTCCAAGATGCCTACTTTCTTTCCAATAATAATTTCCTTTCTTATTCATTCTCTCAACTGCTCATTTTTTTTTGTCTCCTCCATTAAGAGAGAGAATCCACAAAGCAAGAAGTTGTTTGGCAAGTCATACTCAGGCCAGGAGAAACGTCTTTTAATTTTTCTTCTCAAATTAATGGAGTAATCTCATAACCTTGAATTTTGTTTTTTTTTTTTTTTGAGATGAAGTCTCACTCTGTCACTCAGGCTGGAGTGCAGTGGCACGATCTCGGCTTACTGCAACCTTCACCTCCCAGGTTCAAGCAATTCTCCTGCCTCAGCCTCCCGAGGAGCTGGGACTACAAGTGCACACCACCACACCCGGCTAAATTTTTTTTTCTATTTTTAGTAGAGTCGGGGTTTCATTGTGTTAGCCAGGATGGTCTCGATCTCCCGACCTCGTGATCTGCCCACCTCTGTCTCCCAAAGTGCTGGGATTATAGGCATGAGCCACCGTGCCTGGCCACCTTGACTATTTTTATCTCCTCTTCGTCCCCAATGTATAAGGAGGCTTGAAAAGAATCCTCACCTTTTGGACATGTTTATACCTATTCACAGAAGAATGCATTTCCTAACATATCAACAAGGAAAATATATTCCTTTCTATCAGTTTTAATATATATTACTCAAAAGTTTAAATTTTGAAATGTTTATTATCATTAAATTTATGTGCAACATGGGCATTCTTTAATGGTCAATAGCTGCAGGTGTCTGGTTTGCTAAATCACACATATTTACAAACAAGATTTTAAATTCTTTTTAGAGAGGGTCCATGTTTTACTCTTCTGGTTATCTCAAAGTTCCAAGACTGTATAATAAAATTTTTATAAATATACACCCAGTTGATTTAACGTATCTTCTAACTTGAGACAAAAATGTGAATCATAGAAATGTTATCTACTTTTGGAGAGAGTGTGCGATGGTCTGAAGAAATAGCAAAGACATTAGCCTATTATCATCCTGTTGAAAGTATAATTGATAGGTGGCTCTCAAGATCATAGGCCAATAGAGTAACATAAGTGTGGCAAACAGGTCAATATGCATTTCTACTCACCTTCATCTTTTTCTGTCTAACTTGGGATTTTGATAGAAGCAAAAGCAGAAACATCACTATAGTTACATGTGTTTATCTTATGGAATTTTGTTACTGATTGCTATGCAACAAAGAATGTGTCAAGACAGCCAAGTCTCTGCCATCTCTACTATATTCTCGATATAACTGAAAGTAATATTTAGCTTTACAATAACTCCTTAAGTTTTTTGCTTTTGTTTTTGCTTTCTTCTTTATTATTTTATTTTTGTTGTCTAACTTATCATACACTGTTTTCCACAAAGTGACAATCTTTTGGGAAGAGTATAATGCTGATTCTTGCTTTGGTGCCATTTGGGTCTATGCCATTGCTATACATTTCAGCCATTAACACATTATGCAGTTAACATCACGTCAATACACAGCCCATACAAATGAGATGGAGTTATGTAATATTGCTTGAAAGTTTTAAGCAGATGGCAAGATACTGTGACAAACACTTTTTACTTGAAAACAAAAAAAAAAATCCTTTTTGGGTAAATGATGTGTGTTGCACAGTTAGATTTCAGCATGATTTTACCAGGGTCTAGCTAGAGAAAGGATGTGCAACTACATGAGTTATACTTACTGAGCATTCCAATCCTTTGTGCCTCGTTGCAAATCCCCACTCCCTTCACACCACAGCTGCTGCTTGTTTCCACCACTGAGTTTTAAATAATTCAGTGAAATTCTTGAGAAGTGAAGAATGTTTTGCATAATTTTTAAGCTTGATTACTATTTGCACCAAATGTTGCTGATCAGCCAGATTGCCTCAATGGGACTAGTGAAGATTTCCTTTGAATTGAGATTCAAAATATATTCATTTTACTAAGTGCTTGAAAAGAGGAGAATCATGAAAATATCATTTCACATTTACTGTAGTAAAATTATGAAGGTAGATCACAATACAATGTGCTTTTTCCTAAACCTTTAAAAAGAAATAACTTTTTTTTTGCAGCTATATTAAAATTTACCATTTCTTTTTTTAATAGTATTGTTTGTTCATTCTTGGGACTTTTTCTCTGTCTTTCTCTATTCCACCCCAAGAATGATTATTAATATTAAAGAGTCCATTATGATACCAAAAGTGGTAAACCTCACATTTGAATTCTGTTTGTATAAATTTTTATTTGTAGTTTAACAGAACCCAATTCTTTAAAGGACATGAAAGGCAATTAGACCACAAGACTCATAAGAGATATAGAGGAGCACTTGGATTATAATAGATTATATCCAATATAAAAATGATTATATTTTGGAGTATACTGACTAAGAAGATACCTCAGGTCCAGAAATAAAAGGAAAGGAGAGTGAACTGAAGTCGTATGCAAGTTAGTTGAGAAGACGTATCTCTAAGCATCTTCCTTCATTGACTTAGGATGAACTAACTTAATGTCTCATACACAGAGTCCCAGAAGACTGAGTCTGGATTTGAGGATGGTGCAAAAGAAGTTCCTAGACTCAATTAGTTCTACTCACAAGCATTATCAAGGAGGGAGAGTACATGACCAGTTCTGAGGAACTCTGAACAAATGGCTACCCTCATAGTGAAACCAACCCAATTGTCCTAGAGAACTGATGTTTACAGTCTTTTAAAACAAACATAGAAATTGACCCTCCTAGTCTTAAAGCTTTAAACTAATATTTGTCTTATCTGAGTACCTTCCTCAGGAAACTGGCCCACAGGCCTCCCAGATAATATCAAGGGACTGAAACTCACCAGATCACAACATCCAGACAAGTAGAAGCCAGACCCTTTATCCCTCATGATTTACTTATTCTTTCCTATTTCTTGTTTACCTGCTTGTAGTTACATTCCTTCCCACTATATAAATCCCAATTTTTGTTGGTCAGGAAGATGGATTTGAGACTGATCTCCTATCTCATAAGCTGCAGCAACTGATTAATGCCTTCTTCCCTGGCAATACTCGTTGTCTCAGTGATTGTCTTTCTGTATGGTGAGCAGCACACCTAGACCAAATACCTGGTGTTTTGGTAACAGATTTTGGTTCCTTGACTGGGAACATGTTGCTTGTAGCTTGGCTGCCATGGGACAGGAGATTGAGAAGCCCTCTTGAGCAGCTACCTGACCCTTTTTTGGCTGGAGGTGGATTTTGATCTCTTTCTTATCCTGCCACTCCCATCCCCAACCAAGTTCCTGATTGCCTAGCAAGAACAGCCTTTGGAATTTGTCATCTGCATCTGGTCTGGTGAATGTCACTTGTGGGTACCAGACAGTAGGATCTGCTTCTCTCCATTTGGGAAATTCTCCATTTGGGAAATTCTCCATTTGCAGGTTGAACAAGCCCAACCAATTGAGAGAGGAAAGCAGCCCAACTGTTTCAGTTTGGAACCTCTTGGTGCTTGATGGTTACTGCAGCAGTTGGATTGTGTTTTGGTGATTGTTTATATGTCAATATAGTCAAGATAACTCAGAATTTGATAAACTGATAATATTTTATAATACTGTTTGGCTTTGTATTCTTTGCAATCTGGAGAAGTATGGCCTCTCCATGGGTCTTATTTTGCTGCCAAATGAGAAAGTGGATAGAATTTTGTTTCTCCTGTCTTTTATGTGCTGTTCAAAACAGAGTTGGGCCTGATTAACACAAGATGCCCTTCTGTGGTGTTGTTTGGCCTGAGTATTCTTTGGAGTCTTGGGAGGTTTGGCCTTTAAAAATCAAACTGCCATGGAAACTGCTTTACCCAAAATTTTGGTTCACAGCTTTGTTTGGATTACCTATGGAGGCAAAGTTTAGCCACGTGAGCATGTTCATCATCTGGTGAGTTTGTATTGCTATCTCATGGCTAGAGTTCCAAGGTAAAAGCTACTGGATCTTTCTGGGTGTATACATATTTAGATGTATTTTTGTTTACATACATTTATTATATGTTGTGACTACCAAATTAACTTATAAATAAAAAAGCACTCATAAATTCAGGAAATAAGTCCAGTCAATTTTCAAGACATTAAAATTGTTGGTAAGATAAAAATAGGAATGTTTTTAGAATCATCAGTATACATACATGGTTTAGGTTTGTCTCTGCTAGATATTTTGAAGTGTGAGGGCTTGGCATAGAAGGTTATAAAACTATAAACCCAGCCAAAACAAAATGACCTTTGTGTGACTTTTTTTGATAAGTAAGACTAATTTAATGTTGTTGGCTTAATGAAAACAGCAGAATCTTCTGTGTTATCTGTGAAAATACCCAGGTAGTTAAATTTCACGTTCCTACTTAGGTGAACATCTGATATTCACAGGTTATAAAATGGTTAACAAGGAAATGATGACCAGCTTTGTCTAATATGTCAGTTCTCTTATGTAATCTAGATAAGCTGCTAAATATGAATGATATGTAGATGGAATAAATGCAATTAAAAATTTTTAAATTATTTTTGATGCTCCTTGGATATCTGGGTCATTTTCAAAATTGTGGAATGCTCTTATATATAAAATGCTAATATCTGATAGTTCAGTATTTCTTGCTTCCTAGGTTTTTATGGAAAATTTAAGGTTACTAAGAACAAGAATTGTAGTTAATGTATAACTTGGTATGTAAAATGTGCCAAAAAGATATGTTCTTATTGAGAAAAAGACTAATTTTGTCTACTTCAAAAGTTATCTAAATATTAACTCAAATAATGGACTTGGAAAAGTCATTTATGAAATAAGGTAGAAAGGAACCAGTAAGTAGGGGAAAGAGATGTGAAGAAAATTATAAATATGCAGATGTATTTTTTGTAAAGAAGATTATTTAAAAACGAGAATCATTGTGTATGAGAAACTTGTATGGTAAATTTTTGTCCTAGGACAAAACAGAAAGTCCAAGCATGTTATAGATGGTGTGTGCAAGGCATATGTACTTTTTCTTTTCTGTTTTTGTGTGTCTATCTTCATGCACATACAGAGAAAATAGAAAATTGCACACGTTTAAATAGTAAAATATTCTTTAAAAGCTGTTAGAAAATTAAAGAAATTTGCTAATTACCATTGTTCATAGTTAAAGCACTTAGTCTTGATAAAAGTAAAATAAATATTGTAAAGAAAAAACTGGCAATTTGGCAATTCTAATACAGTTATGCATGAAGCCAGATTTAACGTGGATCCAAATTTCATATAAGTGCTTGCATTGCTTTGTTTCACACTCTATCTGCTATTTCACATAGATAGTACTAGCAGTGAAGTACTTACTGATCAGATGCCTGAAGTGAATTTCATAATTGCACAAAATCTATAGTGGTATTGGTGGACTTAAGGATATTAATTTGTATACCAGGAACAAAATATTCACCTTGTGCTTTTTTAAAGGCTCTTGATAGTAGTGTAGCCTCCAAGGTAAACTCAATAGGAGAATATTTTGGGTTTGTTTCCTGTTTGTTTGTGCTTCTAATTTTCATTTATTTGCTGTTTGTTCTTTAAATTTTACATATACATACATATATATATATATATATATATATATATATATATATATATCTCCATTAATTTTTTTACTTTCTAATGGAATGTTTGTATTTGGTTCTATGAATAGTCATTTTGTTTCCTATGCATTTCCAGTAATTAATTATTTGCTCTATTTATGTAAAATTCTTAAGCTACCTTTCAAGCCTCCGAAAATGATAGAGCGTAACAGTCATTTAAAATTGGATTGATATTACTTAGCTCTGATAATTAAGAGAGCTATAAGAGCTTTGAGATTTCTGGCCAAAAAATTAAACACTCATTTTTACAAATTTTAAACAGAGATAGTACATTATTCATTTTGCTATTCTGAAATGTAAATGAGAGTAGAAATGTTTAAATGGTGTTTTTCCAAGGTAATTCAATTCAATTGAAATTTAATTGGAAAAAATCTTTTTAGGTAACGAGAAAAACTGTGATATGGGCACAAAGTTCTAATATACCCATGAAAGTTTAAAGGAAAGGATCTTTTCCTTTAGGTAATGAGGAAAAAAACATGATATGGCTACAAGGTTCTAATCTTCAGGAACGATTGGCCTTGTTCTTAAGAAAATTATATTGACTGGAATTTCTTTCAAACTACTTTAGTTGTGTCTACCATTATTAAAATTAAGTGACATTCACTTGGATTAAATCATAATTTAAAAAGTTAGACTTACTAATGATTTTTATCCTGAGTCTTTTATCACAGATGGGCCTTCATGTGTGCACTTTTGTAAACAAAATATGTACAAGTGTTGCACTGGTTTGAAGGTTCTAGTGGTAAAAATAAACTAAGAAGTTTTCAATACTATATCTGGAAACCAATCTTGGAATTTTGGGATAATACTCTTTTAAGTAGCTGTAAAGAAAGTATTGTGTGCTTTTTCTTACTCTGTTCCCATTTTGTTGTGTAGTATTTAAGCAAAAGTAGGCCATTTATCCTCATACTGAATTTCCCAAACTGGTATTTGCATTTACCATTTTTTATGAAAAGAAAATGTAATTGTCTTACTTTAATAGGATGGGAGTGGTGGGTCATGCCTGTAATGCCAGCACTTTGGGTGGCTGAGGCGGGTGGATTGCTTGAGCTCAGAAGTTCAAGACCAGCTTGGGCAACATGGCAAAACTCCATCTCTACAAAAAATACAAAAATTAGCTGGGTGTGGTGATGCACACCTGTAGTCCCAGCTTCTCCAGAGTATGGGGTGCAAGGATGGCTTGAGCCCATGAGGCAGACAGTGCGGTGAGCCTAGATTGTGCCACTGTATTCCATCCTGGGTTACAGAGCCAGATCCTATCTAAAGTAATAATAATAATAATAATAATGATAATAACAATAGAGTTTGGTATATAACCCATCATAGTTTTGATGCTTTTGGTCACAGTTCTGTCACTAGAATGCTAGCAATTGGACATATGTAAGAAATAACCTTACCACTTTAATACAGTGTTTCGAAGTGTGCAGGCAGCAACTACTAGACACCAAATGACAGTGTTTTAATTTGAGATGTGTTAGAGAGAATGATAGGACTTTTGCAGTGTAAATGTCATGCAGTTAAGTTATAGGACTTCACTCCTGGGTCTGAAAAAGGTACAGACTCCAGAAAAATCTTGAATATTGGCATTCCAAGCCTCTTTTTCAGACTCAGGAGAAGGTGACAATCAAAATGAACTGCTTTCATGTGACACAGGGCCAGAAATTAAAATCATTTAATTCCTCTAGGCTCATAGAAGAGGTGGGTGTGTGAGACTGTAAGGGCCAATTCTGAGGGACAAAATTAGTTATGTAAGTTATTTTTTAGTGGTTGTTTACAATCTTACATAGACCTTAAAAACAGCTCATCATTCTATACCAGTGCCGAAGACATAACACTGCTTCGGGGCCTGGAGAGCTAGGCCTCCCAGGCCAGGGAGTGGCCTCTTAAATAGCAAAGGAAATTCCTTTGAATCACAAGCAATTCTGTAACCTTAGTCTGTGGCTTTTAGTTTTGGGATCTATGTTACTTAAAAGGTTTTAAGGGTTCATGAATGTCTGTCCACCTCCATTCATGTCTGGTCTAGAATGTGTAATTGGCTATGAGTCTTTTGATTTAAGTCCCTTGGCTGTAGGGTCCCAACAAATGACAGGATGGACCTGTAGCAGGTAGCCATACCAACCCAGAAATGGTATGGGGCAAAATACAATCCTAAGCCCTCCACCAATTGAACATGCCCACTTGTGGCCAAGGGACCCCAGTTGCCAAGAGACAAATCTTACCTGGGAAAAGGTCTTGTCCCATTCCCTGCTGAGGATACAGGTAGCCCTCAGAAGTGGATTGGCTTGAGCCCATTTAAAATGTGTACAGAAGACCATTTCTCCAAATCCCTAAACTCCCTGACACTAGAGGACCTTTTCTTCTCTTGAAACAGAAGCTAGATCATACATAAAAAATTAGGAAATATATTAACTACTCTCTCTGAGTTTGTTTCCAGCAGGCTCTAGTTTCCTACCAATGTGCCTCTTCACTCTTTGAAACTGGGGGACAAAGTCTTGCTGAAGACCTGGATATCCCACCAGGCTGAAGACCAACTGCATCCACAAGAGGTCAGCTCTGTTTAATGTGCTGCTGACCACCCACTCATCTGTCAAGTTAGCTGATGTTGGGCTGTGGATTAGCCATACTTGGGTAAAACCAGTCTCTCTGGGGTTCCCTCCAGGGGAAATAGTCATGGTTTTGTGAACTCTCAGTTGTTTTTAAGTTAATATTCATAGCCCAGCCAAAGATCCTAGATAAGAAATCATAAAGGGAACATGATGTAGTGTTCAGGATTATTATCTTAGATTCCCCAGGGGATTCAGTCTATATCCTTTGGTATTTTTAATTTCAAGTTATCTATGTTATTAATCATACTAGTCAATGTGGCTTAAATTGTTGTTCTAAAATCAATAATAAAAGTACCCAGGTTACAGTGCTCAACAAGCCAGATGTCGACCAGGCACCTCGGAGTACTTTCAATTACAGGGGTGACATTTTTATTCATCAATATTATTCCATGATGCCCCTTCTGAGCATGAAGCAGTCAAATAGATATGACCAGATTTACCATGATTGAGGGACTGATAAATTTAAAGGAGGTGCTGAAACCAACCCAATTGTCTTATAGAACTGATTTTACAGTCTTAAAGCTTGCAACTTGCATGTGTCTTATCTCAGTTCCTTCCTCAGACCACTGATCCTCAGGCCTCCCAGGTAGTATCAAGGGACTAAAACTCACCAGATCCACTATATCCAGACAAGGAGAAGCCAGACCCTTCATCCCTCATGATTTACTTGCTCCTCCCTAATTCCTGTTTACCCACGTGTAGTTACATTCCTTCCCTACTATATAATATTGAGCTGTGGATTAACCATATTTGGGTTAAACCAATCTCTCTGGCATACCTTTCAGGGGAAATAGTAATGTTCTTGTAAACTCTCAAATGGCCTTAAGCTGATATTCAAAGCCCAGCCAAAGACCCCGGATAAGAAATCATAATTTTAATCAGTCAGAGAGATGGATTTGGGACTGGTCTTTCATCTCCTAAGTTGCAGCACCTGATTAATGCCTTCTTCCCTGGCAATACACATTGTCTCAGTGATTGGCATTCTGTGCAGTGAACAGCAGGACCTAGACCAAACCCCTGGTGTTCAGTAATAGCACCAGCTGGAATGGTCAAGTCATCACACATGACAAACACAGACACACACACACACACAAGTAGGTCACATAAGTTGATAATTCTGCTATTCCAGGAAGTTCTGTCAAAGATTCCTACATTTCCAGGGGTTTTTAAGACCTGAAATTATTGATACAACATATTTATGCAATCTTTGTTTTGTTGCTTCTGAAAGAGTCTTTATGCCATCTCTCGTTATCTACACCTACTCTTCAATCCTCGCCAATAGAAATTTTCTATCTATGCTAAATAGGTGCTTTTCTAGCAACAACGAGGCTACATCTAACTACACCATCTTTTTGACAGTATATGATTTATTAATTTTATCCCACATAAATCTGTTATTCTGTAGGAATAACCCATGAAGGGAGGAAGGATCTTTGTTTTATTCTCAAATAAAATTTGGATTTATTAGTAATTAATCCCAAGCAATCTCTGAATAGATTAGGCCCTCAAAAATTTTTGTTGAATGACATAATACAAGAATGGATGTATTATTTCATTAATAACATAATACAGGAATGGATGTATTATTTCATTAATAACATACAAGTAGATATAAGCAATATCATAAAATGAGTTTTCCACAATGAGATAATTTTGGCTTTTGCATAAAAATAAAAAAGATAATTTTTTTTGAGATGAAGTATCATTCTTGTCACCCAAGCTGGAGTGCAATGGCGTGATCTCAGCTCACTGAAACCTTTCCCTCCTGGGTTCAAACTATTCTCCTGCCTCAGTCACCTGAGTAGCTGAGATTACAGGTACTCTTAATCAGTCAGAGAGATGGATTTGAGACTTGTCTTTCATCTCCTAAGTTTGCAGCACCTGATTAATGTAATCAGCAACTGAGTAGCCTGCCACCACGCCCAGCTAATTTTTGTATTTTTAGTAGAGACATGGTTTCACCGTGTTGGCCAGGCTGGTCTCAAACTCTTGACCTCAGGCAATCTGCCCGCCTTTGCCTCCCAAAGTGCTGGGATTACAGATGTGAGCCACCGCACCCAGCTGAAGATAATTTTTATTAAATGCAGAAGTCCTTCTGTTAGTGTATGGTCATTTACATATTCAACATCTAAGTACTCAAAAGTCACAAATCACGTGCTTCAATAAGAAATTAATGAATTTGTAACAAGTGAAATTGTAATTCAGGTAATATTAAGATGATGCATTTGTCAGGAGGAACCAGAAGATGGTTCAAATTTTCCCTTAAGGAGAGAATCTATGTTTTGTCCTCTTATCATTTAAATTGTTAAATAGGTTTAATAGTTCTGTCAATATTTGCAACTTTAATTTGTAAAGTTTATGGAATAAAAGTGATCTTGTTCCTCCCTGTCTTTATATTGGGTAATCATATATTAATTGACAGACCCCATAGAAAAATACCTTACCTGAGTAATTTTGATCTAGACAAGAGGCAGGGAAGTACTAGGCAGAATAGGGTGGGGTCCCTGGCGAAGTCCCACCTTCAAGCCTGGACCCATGGCCCTAAGTGAGAACATGCATTCCTGTTTTCCCATCCGAATGTTGTTTTTTCCAAAACCACCCTGGAACACTCCAACCCCCATCCTGTACTCATAAAAATCCCAGGCTCTACTGGCAGAGTGGCAGAGTAGCAGAGAAGGAGAGAAGAGAAGAAGCAGCTGGACATTGGAGACAAGCAGCTTGAATTCAGAGGGATGGCTTGATGGTGGGACCTTGGAGAGGAGTTTGGCTGGGGATGGTCCAACTCCAGAGTAAGACCAACTTCCCACTCCATCCCCTTTCTACCTCCTCATCCTCCTGGGAACCACTTCAATTGGCAACCAGATCCTCTGTATTTACCATCTTCAATTCATTCGTGCAAACTAATTCCTCCTGAACACTGGACAAGGACCCAGGTGCAGGTGCAAGAGGCTGTCACATTGACCCTCCACTGAGCTGTCTTACACTTGAGCCATCCACAGATGGCCAAACTGAAAAAGCACACTGTAACACACACCCTCTAGGGCTTGAGGGGTTGGGGACAACCCCTAGATGCTGCTGCAGGCCCACAGGGAGTTCTACTGCTGTTGGGTGCTCAGAAGTACTCATACTGGCCTCTGCCCTGGCTAATCTGTGTGCTCCCCATCCCGTGTGGGGTTGAGAGCTGAGGGCTGAATAAATGAGCCAACCTTTTCACAAGTCTCTTGAAGGAGTCAAGAGAACTATTCTGTTTCAATTTTATTCCCAACTTGAGACTGAATTACACTAATACATTTTTTGAGGCTACTTTTCATCCCACTTGGGATAAATGACTGACTACAAAGTCTTTGTATACTGAAGTTGGATTCAGAGACTGCTGCTTCTGTGTTTTAGGAACACTTTTAACCTACTTGTTTGCTTCTGGAAAGAACTCAGTGTGGTGAATGGGTGAGTGGTCCCCATTGTGAGACCCATGAAAGTATTTATGCAATTCAATGGACCTGTATTTAATAAGCATATTCATAAACTAGTAAACAGTAATGAATAGAAAGCAATTAGGGCAGCCCTGGACTCCTATAGCTCCTTTAGCTTTCCAGGGAGCACATAGGAAATTTTAAAAAATGAACTAATTTTTCATCTACCCTATGCTGTGGGAACATGTGCTGGGCTCTGGGATACCAAGGACTTATGCCAAATCCTCATTTTTTCTTCTTTACCTGATATTAAGGGTATACTTGTCTTAGAAACAAGGAAAATAAATGACAATTTATTGCTTGGAGAAGGACTTTATTTAGAATTTATAATGGTAGCTCTTTTCAAAATAAGTGACATGAAAATTCTGTCTCTACTTGTTTCAAATCACATCTGAAAGTAAACTCTGGGTATTAGAAGACTGTGATAATGAACATACATTCACTAGAGGTGGAAAAAAACAACTAGAGATGGGAATAATATGTACTTCTAAATGTATCATATAAATATACTACATATGCTATGCATATAAAAGTCAGCACACTAATAATTTTCTAATCAATTTATATTCAGATGAAAAGAATTTGGACAAGACCATGAAGCAATATGAAAAGGAAAAAAAAGCCATACATGCTAATTCTAGATCTGCCACCAACTAACTCTGATGTAAAGCAAATATCAAATTACCTGATATTCAATACTTTTATTTATAAGATATGAGAAGTAACACCTGACTCAAATTGGGATATCAAATGAGATGAGACATGTGGATGCTTTTGAAATGCATGTGCGATCAAGAGTGCAATAGATTATAAAAAAGATAAAAAAGAATAGAAGAAGGAAAAGAAGAAAAAGAAATTCTAGGAAAACGACTGTTCTCAATGTCATGGTCTCTAATTTCTTCATAATATATCATTTTTCCCTGGTCATCAAGACCATGAAATTAGCCAATCATAGTTTTCAGGGAATTTTATGAATTGTATTTTTAGAGAAGTCCCAAAGGTTTGAGATTCAGTGGCTTCTATGGTGTAAGTTTAAATGTCTTGACATTAAGAAAAAAGCCAAGGTGGTTCAGACTGCACTCTGTAGAAAATAAAATTTTTAGTAAATAGAAAAAAAAAATCATTCCTTAAATAATTAAGAATGTCTGCAATAAATTACACAATGAATCCCAAGTCATTAAAATGAGTTTCGATAATCCAATTGCATTTTATCATCAAGGAATGTCAATATTGTACAATCAGAATATTTAATCAGTAGAAGGAACAAAATTACCCTAAATAATCTCATTAGTGCCTTTGAAGTAGTCAATAAAGAAGAAGCTCTTCTGTTTAACATTTATCCAGCTTTCGGATCCTGATTGTCCAATTAAGAAACTTGAATAGTTAGTTCAAGTGATCAATACGCTTTTCAAATGTAAAGAAGATAATCAACTGTAGCCAATTCTTGCATTTTTAAAAATGACAATGTCAAAATATGCCAATATTTCCAGAGGTGACCAGAAGAGCGTGCTATATGAGATTTCTTTATAAACATCGTCCCTAATATATTTCATTGCTATTTGTCTCCTCAGTCCATACAGAGATACACAGAGCTGGTTGAAGTGCATATGTTGAAAAACAAAAATGCCAGAATGAATAACCTTTATTGAGACTTCACTGAATAGATTATTTTGGATGTTCAGATGCTGTTTTCTTATATAGGTGAAAGTACACACCTATATCAGCAAAGCATTTAAAAAGTAAATTATGTAGGCCACTGCTTGCTATAAAAGGCAGAATGATACCCAGACTTTGATAACACATAACATGGAGTCTAAGTTCAGGCCACCTCCTAGTTTAGCGTGGTTCCGTGGCTAGTTGCAGAGAGCATAGGAAGTTGAAGACCCAGTTGCCACCTCCCTGTTTCCACCATTGCATTTTTTGTTTGTTTGTTTTTCAGAGTCATACTTTCCCCAGGCGTCTCCATGACAATGATCCTCGTGCAGGCTCATTTCTGAAAGACGCAAGACTCCTGTAATGGGTGACATTTGAGATTCCTTGCCTTGTAAGATTTAAAGATTCTTTCGATGATGAGACACAACACAGGGACATTCAGAGTACTGGCCTCTCCAGAAGTACTGGCCTCCCAGCCAAATGAAATATTTTCTGGGAACTCTCTATGATATTTCTTAGGTACCATTAAATGATTACTATGTATGTTTTATTTCAGTAATCATTAAATTTTTAGACAAAAAATTACTTAAACATTCTTTTGCTTGTGCAATGTACTGAAAGTGTCTGGCAATTTAATTTAATTTCCTAAAATAATAAACCTTGTTTAGATATATTATTAATTACTGACATCTCAGTTGTTCATTTGCATTTGTAAAGTGTGCCACATTTTCACCATGCTTTAGTTATTTTGCATTAATCTATGCAGCAACCTCATTAGGTAGTTTCATTGTTTTCCTTCAATCACATGAGAAAATTAAAAGTAGAACTCTAGGAATGCTGGTAAAATATTTTATTTGCAAAGTCTAGAAATTTAAGTTCTATTTTTGTTTTATTTTTTAAATAAGTTACTGTTTTTTATTCTTACTGTTTCACTTTTACCAAAGTACTTAGATGTGGACATGGATAGAGGTACTCCACTTCTATTTTTTTTCTGGAAAAAGCTGGAGGAACGTTTGTATGTATGTGTGTGACATTAGCAATATTCCTTAATGTTTGGTTATAGTTTCTAATTCTAATTCATCTGAGCATTGGAGGTCACCTAAGCAGTTTGAAATATATGAGAAGGAATTAAAACCAAAACAACCCTAGAACCTACTAAATAAATCTGTGATAAAGTAACCTATTTACAGGATAAATATTTATCAATTAAAATTGCTTTTTTGATGATTTATATGAAAGAAGTTAGTATAGATATTATTAAGACCTCTAATAACTTCCTAGTAGGCAGACACATTCTCTCAAGCAAGACAAAAACAGGCTGTCTTTTTCAGAGCTCTTCAAGGTTATATGTCTGAGGGGACCATTTTGTCTGGTTCAGGTCTAGATTCACTTGGCTGCTATCACTTCTTACTAGGTGAGAAGTAATAGGAGTGGGATGGATAACTCAGTGCATTCTTCCAAGGTCAAAATTTTCCTAGATCCTCATCCTAAAAATCTACACCAATTTTAAGATTATTAGAATTTTACTAGCCAACTAGGGAGAGGTTATGTAACTTTTCTTGTTTCATTTTCTGGTTCTTCCAATTCAAACTTTGTGTAACTTTAAATATACAGCCATGCACATGTAACAATGTTTTGGTCAATGACAGACAGCATGTGTGACAGTGGTCCCATAAGATTATAACACCATATTTTTACTGTGCCTTTTCTATTTTTAGATACTAAAATATTTACCATTGTGCTACAATTGTCTATAGTATTCAGTATAGAAACATGCTGTATGGGTTGGTAGCCTAAGAGCAATAGGCTATATCATATAGCCTAGGTGTGTAATAGGCTTTACCACCTAGATTTTTGTAAGTACACTCCATGACATTCACATAACAAGAAAATTGGATAAAGATGTATTTCTCAGAATGTATCTCCATTGTTTAGCAACATATGACTACACTAATTCCATTTTGTTCTTAAATTTATAACTACACATCTACAAAATTGTTAAGTTCAAGTATATGTATGTGCCTAGGTACAGCATACTTAAGAACTTGACACACATGTAAACATACACATGTAGTGCTCCAAAACATAGCTTTAAATAGGTTTACATATGCATATTTGTTTGAGACAGGGTCTCACTCTTGCCCAGGCTGGAGTGCAGTGGCATAATCACGCCTCACTGCAGCCTTGACCTCTGGGGCTCAGGTGATCCTCCCATCTCAGCCTCCCAGGTAGCTGGGACTACAGGTGCATGCCACCATTCCTGGCTAATTTTTAAAATCTTTTGTAGAGACCTGGTTTTGTCATGTTGCCCAGGCTGGTCTTGAACTCACAGGCTCAAGTGATCTGCCTGCCTTGGCCTCCCAAAGTGCTGGGATTACAGGAGTGAGCCACCATGGCTGGCCCATAATATTTGTTTTGTTTGTTGATATGGATATATGTTAGCAATTTTTTAAATATACAAAATGTCTACAGGGAAAATGATATGTTTGAAATGGGTGTGGGTTAATTTAAACAATGGGATTTTATGACAGTTTTAAGGCCACATAATACATTTTACTGTTATAGCTAATTTCCTTTAATATCCAGGTAGTATGAATTATATTATTTGTAAAAAACACATATTAATTTTCTTTGTGAGAAATACATAAAATTGGAGAAATATCATGCTAAATTAAGGTCATGAACATGTGTTTCTCCTTTAAAGGGCATTTGATAGCATTTAGGCTTTTTATAATTAAATATTTCTTACAAAAATTTACCATAGAAAAAATGGCATTGAAATTAAATTCAGAGAGAGAAAACTCATAACTCGATTTAATAACTTAGTTAAGACTGTAGTTTGAGCCAAGTGAAAAGGAACAGCATAAAACTTCTATACTATATGAAATAGAGAGAAGTACACATTAAATATTAGTGTAATAAAGCATCATTAGAGTGTGATTACAGTCAGTGAAAATTCAAAGATGATAGGGTTTCTTGTGGGCATTTACACAGATTTTTAATCTTGTACTCAAATAAGCTAGTAAACTAAACTAAAAGTAACCAGCAAAAACCTGGTCATACTGATTATTCCATTGTTATTTTCCAAACACACAAGTCCCACACTTTTCTTATTATAAAACAATAGAAATTATTTCCATTGTGTTACTAAAATATGGTTAAATTTCCCTAAACATAATAAAACTCTAGAAAAGCTATAACATGTCCCCGTATTATTATAGACTTTTTTTGTTTATATAAATAAAGCTTAATAGGAATGTTTCAAGGCTAACTTTGAATGTAATTTCAAATTATTTCTCAAAAGTTTAATTATCTTAACAATTCCCTGATCTTTGCCCTTGAATGAAGACTTATATACTCTCCAGTTGATTTAAATTTGTTTTCCCCCAAATGAAGTCATTTATACCAAGAGGTTGAAAAAATGCTCACAAATCAAGTTAGAGCCCTATTTAATATGCTAATGTAAAATGTTGAGCTACATAAGGACTAGCAGGCAATAAATGCTCCCATACAAACATTAGTTCAAGGCACTGCTAATGAGTTCACCTCTATTATCTTTCAAACTGCAGCTCCATTAGCAGTGTTGTAATACTAAAGATAATTAGTGCAGGCTTGTCAACTTGATTTTTGCTAACATTATGGCTTTTATTTTGTACTATATTTTTTAAGGGTCCCTCTGAGAGTCTGTGGTTCACTTTATTGGCCAGGGAAAAGGTATTTATTCTGGCCTAACAAAAGCACAGTTTAATTAAGAAGCATTCTGCCATTTATTGTGTACTCCAGACTACAATTTTGATGTTGGTCTCTAAATGCTATGATTTGTCAGATTCAATTTCTCTGTTCTAATTTCCTATCAGAGAAAATGTGATACCAGGCATGGATCCAATTTCCCTTTTCTATTAGCATTTATATTGACAGAGTTAATGATTTTATTATCATCTTTGGTTTGTTGCTAAACAGCAGACATCATATCCCTCCTTGTGGATGGTTACATATATATATATATATATATTATAAACTTATTGTCCCAAGGGGAATTGAAACTCATTCTATTAAGTTTATCTTAAGGTGGCCAAGTTAAGTGTTAGGTAAGAAATTGGGAGAACATTAGGAAAATGATAGTATTCCCAAATAAGAAGTAAGATTAATATTTTTTCTATATGAATAATATGTCCAAGTGGATAGGCTGGTAAAGACTCTGTAAGACTCTCCCAGTAGGTTGAAATGTAATGCCTGTGATTCCTGATACTGCTCTGAAAATGGAATGTTTGAGAAAGTGTAAATCCTATGTATTTGTATTATTTAATAAATATTCTAGTGGCTTCATAGCTCAGGGGTTAGAGCACTGGTCTTGTAGAAATATTCTAATGGGACTATGACTCTCTTTAAGATTTGAAACAAAATTAAAAATATCAAGAAGCAGTATACTTTTGCATTTATTTCCTACCTTTTGGAACTGAAATTCCTCAATAACTAAGATATTTTTCTAATTTAGCTGTTTTTTTAATATTAATTTATTTCCAAAATATTCAAGTGAGGGTGAGTTTAAATCCCTATTCATGAATAACTTACCCATTAATTAAGTGCAAATAAATTTTTTGTACAATTTTATGAAAAGAAAAACCCATGATGTGGCACTTCTGTTTAATGTGTTTGTTCTTTTTTTTTCAGGTTATTACCACATACCTCTTTATGGTTCTTTCCTTAAGATTTCATAGAGGCATCAGTGTTCTCAATGCACACAGTAGTCATATATAAGAAGCTCTTACATCAAGATAAAGGCAGAATATTTTATTGTAAAATTTTACTTTTTACCTAATTAATTGAAAGATATATTTAAATATATTTTTCCACCATTTGTAGGAATGCAACGTTTAAAAAGAGACTAGGTTTTGTGTGTGTGTTCAAATCAGTGTAAGAATAATCATTTTCTTGCTGCAAGTAAAGTGAAATGGGAATATATTAATGGAATGCAATTAAATATATTTAGTATCCAAATACTGTCTATATGCAAATTACATGTCATCATTTTAAAAATTATATTCACCCTCTGAGACACATGTGACTAACATGATTTCAGAGTGCTAAACCAAATTAATCACTCCAGATATTTTTAAATTAATTTCTAAAGACATTGAAAAGCAGAGTCATGTTTTTTCACATTCATGGCTTATAATTTAAAATAAAAATAACAGAATATAGTTGGCAGAAATAAATATAACAAGGAAGATATTAACTGAGCAGATAGTAATTTTGTGGGGGAGAGAGAGAGACAGATTGAGAAAGGGAAAGGGAAGGAGAAGGAGAAAAAGAGAAAGAAAATGAGAAAGAAAGAAAGAGAAAGCAGAGAAAGAGAAAGAAAGGGAGCATGAGTAAATGCATATTATAAAGGTGGCCCTCTTAAGTAGAAAAAAAAACAATAATTCAGGTATTACACTTTGGATGAACTGTGCCTAATCAAAATCAAATGCTCCAAATTGTCTGTTGCATACAGAGATGGTGTAGGTTAAAGGACTCGTGGCTTGAAGTCAGAAGATGCAGACTCTAGTTCATTCTCTTGTTTCAATATATTAATTATTCTGAAATGAATAGCACAATATGCTCAGAAAACTTGGGTTTCAACACAGCCCACCTCTATGCCCTTAACCTATTTGAAAGCCACTTTTCTTATCTGCAAAGCAGTAATAATAATATATGCACAGTATTGAGGGAGAATCAAACATGAAATTACAGTGTAAATTATAATGTGCTACAGAAATGTGTCAGTGGTAATACTGTCATTAAATTAAATTAATGTGTGTTGATACTCATTCTCATATTCAGGTTATTATATGTTTAAAATTCATTTGCCATTCATTGATATCCACGGTATTATATTCCATTTAGCAGAGATGAGGAGGTTAGTGGGTGGGTAAAATGATACACTTATTTGATGTTTGATTCTACCTGACAGTAGTGTATCTTGGAAGGATGTCAGCCAGCTTAGAATTTTTCATTTGAATAATCATTCAGTTTGGAAGGCCATTCTTTTAGTCATGTGTAAAAGACAATAGGGTTATTGCATCAGCATGAAAAAGATACAGAATGAAAAAAGAATGCACATTAAAAAAACCTTTTAATTATTTCATAGGAGTTGAGTGGAGCTGAAAGAAATTCTTGCTCTACCACTTGGGCACAAGAGATCATCTTTGAGAAAGAACCGTTTAGGTAACCTATTACATATTCAGAAAGTGGTATTGAAGTCACTTAGGAGAGAAATTATTCCTACCTGCTGGGGTCCAGAGGAAACATTGTGGACTGAGCGTTAGAAGGCCTCTGCTATGATTTGAATTTGTTCCCCCAAAGTTCATGTGTTAAAAGCTTGGCTGCCACTGTGGCAGTGTTGAGAAGTGGAGCCTTTGGGAAGCAATTGGGTCATGAGGGTTCTGCCCTCATGAATGGATTAATGCCATTGTCACTGGAGTGGGTTAGTTTTTGCAGGAGTGACTTGTGTAAAAGCAAGCTTTCTCTCCCATGTGCACTTTCTTGCCCTCTTGCTTTCCACCTTCCTGCCATGCCAGATTCCACTGCTATGCTCTTGGACTTCCCAGACCCCAGAACCAGGAACCAAATAAACTTTTTTTCCTTATAAATGACCCTACCTGTGATATTCTGTAACAGCAACAGAAAAGGAACTAAGACAGCCCCTCTCCAGACTTGTAAGCCTCCATCCATCCACGGGAGTCAAGGGGAGCCTCTTAGATATAATATTGGCCCTTCTCTAGTTACTATTTTTCCTATTACAAGAAAAGACAGGAGGCTCCTGGCCTAAACTACTCTTAAATGTTTCTACAAGAATCATGGCCTTGCCTGTTCTCTCTAACTTGAGACAAACAGAAGTAATACCAACATGCCTTTATCCTGATTATGCCAGTGACCATGAGAATCCCCAGACTCCCAGGACATTCTCCCCTTCTATATTTAATTTCACTGAAGATTGTGTGCAATCTCAATTCTCTCTCTATCTCTTAGCCATCTCCAACTTCTGAAAGCTTTCCACTGAGTCCTTTGGAACACATAGCACATTAGTCATGGAAAAGAGAAATCTTCCTATACGTTAAACCTTTTTTTGAGTGCTCCCTTTACCTCTGGCTCTAACATAAATTCAAGTCTTCCTTGAGGATACTGCTTTCCCATAGTCCTCTTTCTATACCATGAGCCTAAATCTGGTTTGAGCATCCTCCTCCTCTGAATTGTTTTTTCTAGAGTGTTCTTGCTCCTGCTTCCTTAAGACTCTTTAATTTTGAATTTCATGTATCAGGTTATGGTGTCCATTACCTTCTTTGTTGCAATAATATACCTACCACTGGGTTATAATCTCCCCTTTCAATCCAATTGTATCCTGTATCTTGAAGGCTTTTGCTTCTGATTTTCTGTCACTCTGAAATCATATATTTGTGATTTTGGTGTCCACATGGCTGACGCTTCCAAAACATTGGCTTCTCAGTTCCCTGAACTTCATGTTTATCTCACCTAAACTTTCATTCCTTGGATTGTATCCTAGACCTGTCAGAATTAATATCGATGATATCATCAGAAATCTCAATGTCAAGCATCCTTCTGGCAACCACTTTTGTCCTTTTAACTCACTGTAATTAGTAAATTCAATGATCCTGCTCCTCAACCCCTTCATCTGATTCTACCACATCTTCATTTTGTTTTATTCTCTTCTCATCCTAATTTCTCTCCTTCCCAGTTTATACTTCTTAGCCAATAATTATATTCATTTCCTTGTATCCACCCTCAAATTTCTTGCCCCTTAATTCTAACAATTATTATATCTTCTCCAACCACTCTCCCATTCCTTATTTATTCCTCTCTTCTCAAAATCTAACACTACCCATCTCTTTTCATTTCATACTTTCAGCTGATGACCATCTTTCCAATTATATGAGAAAACTCAGTCAGAAGAGATGTTTCATAATCTCCAGCCACGATTTCTACTTATCTACTAGCAATAGTGCCCATATTTGCTGTTGAACCAGGGACCCTCACAGTGCAGAACTCTGGAAATCTTTAGAGTGTCCCCTGAGTGTTCAGTTGAGTACTGATCAGCATATGTAAGTGAGAATGCTACTTAGGGCCAGAGAACATAATTCTAAAAGAATTAGGGTAAAATAACACCCAGGAAATAAAAGGTTGAGAATAATTCCTGTTATCATGAGAAAAAGTGGGAATTCATAATTTAAGGAACATTGTTGTTTGCATACATAATGGAACAAAATAAGACTTGGAAAAAATACTTTCCTGGTCCTATCTAACAAAACTTGAAAGTATCACTCAAGGAGATAAAACTCTGCAAGTAATGTGAGTCTCAGGATGAAAATAAGAATATTTGTATATAAGAAAACAAAAATAATCAGCACCCAACAAGGTAAATTTTACAATATCTGACATCCAATCAAAAGCTACAAGGCAGGCAAAGAATAAGAAAAATATAAATCATAATGAATAGAATGATCAATCAAACTATCCAGAAATAAAATAGAATTAGTAGATAAGGATATTTAGACATTCATTATGGCAATATTTCACATATTCAAGAAACCAGAAAAAAGATTGAACATATTAGTAAGAGACATGGAAGGTGTTTTTAGAAGACTCAAATAGAACTTCAAAAGGTGAAAATGACAGGGTCTGAGATGAAAAATACACTCTATGGGATTAAGAGCAGATAAAAAATGGCAGGAAAAAAATTACTAAACCTGAATAAATAACTACAGAAACTTTACAAAATGAGGCACAGAAAAAGGGTGAAAAAAAGAAACCATAGCATCAGTGAACTCTGGGACAACTTCAAATGGACCAGTATACATGTAATTGAAGTCCTAGGAAGAGAGAAGAGAGAGAGAAAAATTATTTGAAGAAAAATTTCCAAATTTGTTATGCATGAAAAATCATAGATCCAAGAAGCTCAGTGAACCAAAGCTCAAGTGTGCCAACATGAAGAAAAGTTCACCAAGGCACATCATAATAAAATTGTTTGAAATCAGTGACAAACAGAAAATCTTAAAAGCAGCCAGAGAAAAAGGATACATTACATTCAGAGAAACAAAGGTAATGATGTCCAACAGCAGATTTCTCACCACTAAAAAGCCAAGTTTATACTATAACTAAAATGATAGTAAATTGCACAAAGGTAGACTGTGATAAGTTAAAGATTTCTAACATATACCCACTAAAATAACACAACAAAAAGTTAACACAAATAAGCCAATAAAGGAGATAAAGTGGTAATATAAAAATTGTCAGTTGATCCAAAGGAAAGTAGAAAAAGAGGAAGTAGAAAACAGAGAACAAACGGGACAAATGGAACAAAACTGGCAATTATCAGCCAATAACAAACTAGACCTATGTGACATTTATAGAGAATTCCATACAATAGCAGAATACATAATGTTTCAAGTGTACATAGAACACACACCAAGAGAGACCATATTCTAGGTCATTAAACATAATTCCCACATGTCATGGTACAGATCCAGTAGGAGGTAATTGAATCATGGGTCTTTCTCATGCTGTTCTCGTGAGAGTGAGTAAATCTCATGAGATCTGATGGTTTTATAAAGTGTAGTTCCCCTGTGCATGCTCTCTTGCCTGTTGCCATGTAAGATGTGCCTCTGCTTCACCTTCTGCCATAGTTGTGAGGCTTCCACAGCCATGTGGAACCATAAGTCAATTAAATTTCTTTTTCTTTATAAATTACCCAGTGACAAAGCATTACTCATGTGTTTGTGGTAATGCTGGCATAAATAAACCAAATAAACCTACCGTACTGCCGGTCATACAAAACTATAGCAATACAGTTACATACAGTTCATAAAACTTGATAATGGTAATGAAGAACTATGTTACTAGTTTATGTATTTACTATATATTTTATCATTATAGTGTACTCCTATGTAAAAAAAAAAATGTTAACTTTAAAACAGCCTCAGGCCAGTCCTTCTGGAGATATTCCAGAAGAAGGCATTGATATGATGTGAGATGACAACTCTATGCATGTTATTGCCCCTGAAGACCTTCCAGTGGGACAACATATGGAGGTAGAAGACAGTGATAGAGTGATCCTGACCCTGTGTGGGCCGAGGATAATGTGTGTGTTCGTGTCTTAGTTTTTAGCCAAAATATTTCAAAGTAAAGAAAAATTAAAAAAAATGAAATACCTGATAGACTAAGGATATAAACAAAAAAAATTGTACAGCTGTACTATGTGTTTGTGTTTTGAGTTAAGTGTTATTACAGGAGTCAAAAAGTTAATAAATTTAAAATGTTTATAAAGTAATAAATTTAAATCAGGCTAAGGTTAGTTTATTATTGAAGAAACAAAAAAGGATTAAATTGAGTATAGCATAAGTATACAGTGTTTGTAAAGTGTATAGTAATGTACAGTAATATCTTAGGACATCACATTTTCTCTCCACTCACCCATTGATTCATGCACAGCAATTTCCATTCCTGCAAGATCCATTCATGTTAAGTGCCCCATACAAGGGTACCTTTTAAAATCTTTTATATTTCTGTCTCATGGATCTGTCTAATGTTGACAGTGGGGTGTTAAACTCTCCCATTATTATTGTGTGGGAGTCTAAGTCTCTTTGTAGGTCTCTAAGGACTTGCTTTATGAATCTGGGTGCTCCTGTATTGGTTGCATATATATTTAGGATAGCACATCTTGTCAAATTGATCCCTTTACCATTATGTAATGGCATTCTTTGTCTCTTTTGATCTTTGTTGGTTTAAAGTCTGTTTTATCAGAGACTAGGACTGCAACCCCTGCCTTTTTTTTGTTTTCCATTTGCTTGGTAGATCTTCCTCCATCCCTTCATTTTGAGCCTATGTGTGTCTCTGCATGTGAGATGGGTTTCCTGAATACAGAACACTAATGGGTCCTGACTCTTTGTCCAATTTGCCAGTCTGTGTCTTTTAACTGGAGCATTTAGCCCATTTACATTTAAGGTGAATATTGTTATGTGTGAATTTGATCCTGTCATTATGACGATAGCTGGTTATTTTGCTCATTTGTCGATGCAGTTTCTTCCTAGCCTCGATGGTCTTTACAATTTGGCATCATTTTGCAGTGGCTGGTACTTGTTGTTCCTTTCCATGTTTAGTGCTTTCTTCAGGAGCTCTTGTAGAGCAGGCCTGGCGGGGACAAAATCTCTCAGCATTTGTCTGTAAAGGATTTTATTTGTCCTTCACTTCTGAAGCTTAGTTTGGCTGGATATGAAATTCTGGGTTGAAAATTCTTTTCTTTAAGAATGTCGAATATCGGCCCCCACTCTCTTCTGGCTTGTAGAGTTTCTGCTGAGAGATCAGCTATTAGTCTGATGGGTTTCCCTTTGTGGGTAACCCAACTTTTCTCTCTGGCTGCCCTTAACATTTTTTCCTTCATTTCAACTTTGGTGAATCTGACAATTATGTGTCTTGGAGTTGCTCTTCTGGAGGAGAATCTTTGTGGCGTTCTCTATATTTCCTGAATTTGAATGTTGGCCTGCCTTGCTAGGTTGTGATAGTTATCCTGGATAATATCCTGCAGAGTGTTTTCCAACTTGGTTCCATTCTCCCCATCACTTTCAGGTACACCAATCAGATGTAGATTTGGTCTTTTCACATAGTCCCATATTTCTTGGAGGCTTTGTTCATTTCTTTTTATTCTTTTTTCTGTAAACTTTTTTTCTTGCTTCATTTCATTCATTTGATCTTCAGTCACTGATACCGTTTCTTCCAGATGATCGAGACAGCTACTGAAGTTTGTGCATTCATCGCCTAGTTCTCATGCCATGGTTTTCAGCTCCGTCAGGTCATTTAAGGCCTTCTCTTCATTGGTTATTCTAGTTAGCCATTTCTCTAATCTTTTTTCAAAGTTTTTAACTTCTTTGCGATGGGTTCACACTTCCTCCTTTAGCTTGGAGAAGTTTGATCATCTGAAGCCTTCTTCTCTCAACTCGTCAAAGTCATTCTCTGTCCAGCTTTGCTCCGTTGCTGGTGAGGAGCTGCATTCCTTTGGAGGATGAGAGGCGCTCTGATTTTTAGAATTTTCAGTTTTTCTGCTCTGTTTTTTCCCCATCTTTGTGGTTTTATCTACCTTTCGTCTTTGATAATGGTGAAGTACAGATGGCATTTTGGTGTGGATGTCCTTTCTGTTTGTTAGTTTTCCTTCTAACAGTCAGGACCCTCAGCTGCAGGTCTGTTGGAGTTTCCTGGAGGTCCGCTCCAGACAGTCTGCCTGGGGATCAGCATCGGAGGCTGCAGAACAGCAAATATTACTGAATAGCAACTGTTGCTGTCTGATCGTTCCTCTGGAAGTTTCATCTCAGAGGAGTACCCGGCCGTGTGAGGTGTCATTCTTCCCCTACTGGGGGGTGCCTCCAGTTAGGCTACTTTGGGATACCCATGAGACAGAAAGTTAACAAGAATACCCAAGAATTGAACTCAGCTCTGCACCAAGCGGACCCAATAGACATCTACAGAACTCTCCACCCCAAATCAACAGAATATACATTGTTTTCAGCACCACATCACACTTATTCCAAAATTAACCACATAATTGGAAATAAAGCACTCCTCAGCAAATGCAAAAGAACAGAAATTATAACAAACTGTCCCTCAGACCAAAGTGCAATCAAACTAGAATCCAGGATTAGGAAACTCATTCAAAACCGCTCAACTACATGGAAACTGAACAACCTGCTCCTGAATGACTACTGGGTACATAATGAAATGAAGGCAGAAATAAAGATATTCTTTGAAACCAATGAGAACAAAGACACAACATACCAGAATCTCTGGAACACATTTAAAGCAGTGTGTAGAGGGAAATTTATAGCACTAAAGGACCACAATAGAAAGCAGGAAAGATCTAAAATTAACACTCTAACATCACAATTAAAAGAACTAGAGAAGCAAGAGCAAACGCATTCAAAAGTTAGCAGAAAGCAAGAAATAACTAAGATCAGAGCAGAACTGAAGGAGATAGAGACATAAAAACCCTTCAAAAAAATCAATGAATCCAGGAGCTGGTTTTTTGAAAAGATCAACAAAATTGATAGACCGCTAGCAAGACTAATACAAAAGAAAAGAGAGAAGAATCAAAAAGACACAATAAAAAATGATAAAGGGGATATCACCACCAATCCCACAAAAATACAAACTACCATCAGAGAATACTATAAACACCTCTTGCAAATAAACTAGAAAATCTAGAAGAAATGGATAAATTCCTTGACACATACACCCTCCCAAGACTAAACCAGGAAGAAGTTGAATCTCTGAATAGACCAATAACAGGCTCTGAAATTGAGGCAATAACTAATAGCCTACCAATCAAAAAAAGTCCAGGACAAGACGGATTCACAGCTGAATTCTGCCAGAGGTACAAGGAGGAGCTGGTACCATTCCTTCTGAAACTATTCCAATCAGTAGAAAAAGAGGGAATCCTCCCTAACTCATTTTATGAGGCCAGCATCATCCTGATACCAAAGCCTGGCAGAGACACAACAAAAAAAGAGAATTTTAGAGCAATATCGCTGATGAACATAGATGCAAAAATCCTCAATAAAATACTGGCAAACCAAATCCAGCAGCACATCAGAAAGCTTAACCACTATGGTCCAGTGGGCTTCATCCCTGGGATGGAAGGCTAGTTCAACATATGAAAATCAGTAAACATAATCCAGCATATAAACAGAACCAAAGAAAAAAACCACATGATTATCTCAATAGATGCAGAAAAGGCCTTTGACAAAATTCAACAGCCCTTCATGCTAAAAACTCTCAAAAAATTAGGTATTGATGGGACATATTTCAAAACAATAAGAGCTATTTATGACAAACCCACAAGCAATATCATACTGAATGGGCAAAAATAGGAAGCATTCCATTTGAAAACTGGCACAAGACAGGGATGCCCTCTCTCACCACTCCTATTCAACATAGTGTTGGAAGTCCTGGCCAGGGAAATCAGGCAGCAGAAAGAAATAAAGGGTATTCAATCAGGAAAAGAGGAAGTCAAATTGTCTCTGTTTGCAGATGACATGATTGTATATCTAGAAAACTCCGTTGTCTCAGCCCCAAATCTCCTTAAGCTGATAAGCAACTTCAGCAAAGTCTCAGGATACAAAATCAATGTGAAAAAAATCACAAGCATTCTTATACGCCAATAACAGACAAACAGAGAGCCAAATCACGAGTGAACTCCCATTCACAGTTGCTTCAAAGAGTATAAAATACCTAGGAATCCAACTTACAAGGGATGTGAAGGACCTCTTCAAGGAGAACTACAAACCACTGCTCAATGAAATAAAAGATACAAACAAATGGAAGAACATTCCATGATCATGGATAGGAATATCAATATCATGAAAATGGCCATACTGCCCAAGGTAATTAATAGATTCAATGCCATCCCCATCAAGCTACCAATGACTTTTTTCACAGAACTGGAAAAAACTACTTTAAAGTTCATATGGAACCAAAAAAGAGCCTGCATTGCCAATTCAATCCTAAGCCAAAAGAACAAAGCTGGAGGCCTATCGCTACCTGACTTCAAACTATACTACAAGGCTACAGTAACCAAAACAGCATGGTACTGGTACCAAAACAGAGATACAGACCAATGGAACAGAACAGAGTCCTCAGAAATAATACCACACATCTACAACCATCCGATCTTTGACAAACCTGACAAAAACAAGAAATGGGGAAATGATCCTCTATTTAACAAATGGTGCCAGGAAAACTGGCTAGCCATATGTAGAAAGCTGAAACTGGATCCCTTCCTTACACCTTATACAAAAATTAACTCAAGATAGATTAAAGACTTAAATGTTAGACCTAAAACCATAAAAACTCTAGAAGAAAACTTACACAATACCATTCAGGACATTGGCATGGGCAAGGTCTTCATGTCTAAAACACCAAAAACAATGGCAACAAAAGCCAAAATTGACAAATGAGATCTAATTAAACTAAAGAGCTTCTGCAGAGCAAAAGAAACTACCATCAGAGTGAACAGGCAACCTACAGAATGGGAGAACACTTTTGCAATCTACTCATCTGACAAAAGGCTAATATCCAGAATCTACAAAGAACTCAAACAAATTCACAAGAAAAAACAACCGCATCAACAAGCGGGCGAAGGATATGAACAGAAACTTCTCAGAAGAAGATATTTATGCAGCCAACAGACACAGGAAAAAATGCTCGTCATCACTGGCCATCAGAGAAATGCAAATCAAAACCACAATGAGATACCATCTCACACCAGTTAGAATGGCAATCATTAAAAAGTCAGGAAACAACAGGTGCTGGAGAGGATGTGGAGAAATAGGAACACTTTTGCACTGTTGGTGGGACTGTAAACTAGTTCAACCATTGTGGAAGTCAGTGTGGCAATTCCTCAGGGATGTAGAACTAGAAATACCATTTGACCCAGCCATCCCATTACTGGGTATATACCCAAAGGATTATAAATCATGCTGCTATAAAGACTCATGCACACGTATGTTTATTGTGGCACTATTCACAATAGCAAAGACTTGGAACCAAGCCACATGTCCAACAATGATAGACTGGATTAAGAAAATGTGGCACATATACACCATGGAATACTATGCAGCCATAAAAAATGATGAGTTCATGTCCTTTGTAGGGACATGGATGAAGTTGGAAACCATCATTCTCAGCAAACTATCACAAGGAGAAAAAACCAAGCGTCGCATGTTCTCACTCATAGGTGGGAATTGAACCATGAGAACGCATGGACACAAGAAGGGGAACATCACACACCCCCTCTTGTGGGGTGGGGGTATGGGGGAGGGATAACATTAGGAGATATACCTAATATAAATGATGAGTTAATGGGTGCAGCACACCAACATGGCACATGTACACATATGTAACAAATCTGCACGTTGTGCACATGTACCCTAGAACTTAAAGTATAATAAAAATTATATATATATAAAAGAAAAAAAATAAAATAAAATCGTTTACATTATATTTTTACTGTAACTCTTCTATACAGTAACATGCTGTATTGTTTTGTAGACTAGAAGCAATAGGCTATACCATATAACCTAGGTATGTAGTAGGTTGTATCATGTAGATTTGGGTAAATAACAGTCTATGATGTAAGGAATCAATTTCATTTCTTTTGCATTCCATGCCTACTTTTTATTCATATAATTTTTTACTTTCTATTGAGCTATGTACCTTTTATTGACTGTCTCTCACCACTAGAAGTTAAACTCAGAGATTCAATTTTTGGTTTGTTTTTTGTCTATTGATAGAATAATATACACTTAAGATTTCTCTTCTGTCTTTTCGTGGCTTATAGCTTTTCATTTATTTTTAGCTCTCAATAATATTCCACTGTATAGATGTAACAGAGTTTATTTATTTATTAATATATTGAAGGAGATTTGTGATCACTTCCAACTCTTGGCAATTGTGAATAAAGCTGTAAATATTTCTGTGCAGGTTTTTGTGTATACCCAAGTTTTTAACTTATTTGGGTAAATGACAAGGAGCATGATTGCTGGATCACAGGTTAAGAGTATGTTTAGTTTTCTTAAAAACTGCCAAACTATCTTTCAGCATCATTAAGTTATCATTTTGCATTCCCACTTACAATAAATAAGTTTCTGTTGCTCCATATTGTCATCAGGATTGGCATTGTCTGTGCTTTGGATTTTCATCCATCATTGTAACCAAGGTGTAGAGTGTGCATATATGTTTTCAATTGGTCAACTATTTGTTTTTCTTTATTATCCTAGTTACTAATCACCTTTTATACTTATAAACAAAGAGATAAATAATATTGAGTATTTAGAATATTTTTCCTTTAGGCATAAAAAAACATAAATTTTTTCTTCCACTCTCAAGTTTATCTGGTCAACCATGAACAGCATTTTCATATTTTACATTTATTTATACATTCCAGGATAACACCATCAACGTCAGAACAGTTTGACTTCTATAGGATGTCCAAATTAATTTTTTCAATATTTTTTATTCTACCTTGAGGTTTTCCTTGTGGTTTGTAGAATTCAGGACATTTTCGAAGGCTTTTACTTTTAGTGACCTGGGTCTTTAAATGGTCCCACACACCAAAGGGAAGAATAGGGTATCCAGAGAGCCAGACTTAGCCAGCCTTTGGACTTCTAATGTCAGTTTCAAAGAGGCTGTCACTTTTTCCTAATGCGGATTTACATTTAAACTTCTTTTGCTTGTCATCTGAAAAGTAATGCAGTCTTGCATGCATTATAATTTCTTTACATACTTTTTGTGATATATGATAACATTTACTATAGTTTTCTTTATATTCAAGGCTATGTTGAAGACATCAGTCATATCAGATGATTTCTAGTAAGTGACTTACAGCTTCATGGGATTTTGCATCTTCTTAGTGCGAGACTTAGAATCTTTTTATTTAAAAAAGGTTTTCTATTGTGATACCAGTATGACAGTTCCATGTATTGGAAAGGACATCGATTTTAGAGTCGCATTCATCTAGGTTCAGTTCCAGGTTGGGTTCATACTGGCTAAATGACCTTGGATGAGTTACTTAAATTTTATGATTATTATTTTCCTTATCTGGGAAACAGGTTGCTAATACTTAATTGCTGTATAATTGTAAGCAATATACACAAATACTTAAAATTCTGAAGCATTCAGCAAACAGTAGCTTCATTTTACTAAAGAATTTATACATTTAAAATGATTAACCTTGGATTGCTGGAGTTTAGTGTGTAATGACTGACTAGAATAGATGTATTGGTAAAGTCCTTGCTTTTTTTAGTGTGCTTATTTTTAAATATAGTTATGCAAATCACCAAGAAACATAATGCAATTGTAAAAAAGGTAAAACTAAATTAATTGAATCATTAAGTATAAACGCAATTAAAAATAAAAGCAACTATAAATCAAATATATCAATTGACACATTTAGTAGGTCACAGCAATCGCAAAATGGTTGAATTCTGGTATTAGAAAGAAATAAGGAAGAAAATTAACATGCATACAATAAAAATGGAAATATAATTCTAAAGACACGAAAAGAGTCCTGCTAAAATATTAAAATAATGTTAAGGCAACACTAACAACTTTTAAATAAGCACAGGAAAAGCAATTTTAACATTCTTGAGATGAAAGTTAAAAAGTAGAGGGTAGCAGTCTAATAAATTATTAAAAGCATGAATCTGGATTTATCTGTTTCTTGAACAGCACATCCTGGATTAAATTATATTTAATCAATTGTATTGGTTTCTTTTCTTTTTTGTTGTTTTCTCTGAGACAGTGTCTTATACTGTTGCTCAGGCTGGCGAGCAGTGGCGCCTCAGCCTCCTGAGTAGCTGGGGTTACAGGCATGCTCCACCACACCTGGCTAACTTTTTTGTTTTATTTTTAGTAGAGAGGGGATCTCATTATGTCTCCCAGATGAGGCTCGAACTCTTGGTCTCAGGTGATCCTCTTACCTTGGCCTCCTACAGTGCTGGGATTACAAGTATTAGCCATGGTGCCAGGCCTATGTCTCAGTTTCTTTATACATAAAATGGAAATAATAATATCTATTGCTCAGATATATTATAAAAAATAAAATATGTCTAACTATATTAGCATAGTATCTGACATTATAGTCATGCAAATCATTTAATGGTAGTATTATTGTTGCTATTTCTCGTTTCTGAGACTAAACTAATGTAGCCTATCCTACATTAGCATACCAATGGTAATTACTGTTCTTGCTGCCATATGCTTCTAAAACAGCTGAAAATACTAGAATTGAAGGGTGTGATAATTTCAGAAAATTGGACTTCTCAACAAGTTTCATGCAAGGCAAAACCCTCATCTGAAACATGTAGGCAGAATGAATTTAGGCTAATTTGATTGTCTAGCATTTATTCCCAAGACTAAATGAAGGCAGACAAATCATCACAAAGGTAACATACCTAACAGCCATAGACCACGCCCCAATCACATGCAGTAACCAGTAAGCACTCATTCCCTTCATTAGATGGTAAGTAGAAGACAATGGGCATTTTGGGTGGTAGTGAGAGACAATCTTGAAAAAATATAGGAGCCCAGCTGGGCACTGTGGCTCACATCTATAATCCCAGCACTTTGGGAGGCCAAGGCAGGAGGATCACTTGAGGTCAGGAGTTTGAGGCCAGCCTGGCCAACATGGCAAAACCCTGTTTCTACTAAAAAATACAAAAAATAGCTGGGTGTGGTGGCTCTCGCCTTTTTAATCCCAGCTCTTCTGGAGGCTGAGGAATGAGAATTGCTTGAACCTGGAAGGTGGAGGCTACAGTAAGGTGAGAGCACCACTGCACTCCAGCCTTGGTGACAGAGTGAGACCCTGTTAAAAAAAAAAAAAATATATATATATATATATATATGTATTTATTTATCTATATTTATATTTATATATACAGGAGCCAGTTGATAGAAGGCCTTGGTCTTGATAAATGTACGTAGAAACATTTCATTTCCTAACCAGATGTATGTTGCATCTGGAAGTAGTTATGTCTCTCCAAGAGAGGTTCATGTTCAAAACGCCATCGTGTAACATTAGGAAAGAAATTTTTTTCAGTATGAATTTATTGATACAAATTGATTACAATATTTTTTCAGTCAGTACAGAATAGCTCATCATTTTAGATATCCTTATGATACCCTAATAAATTGTCCTTTCTTTGGTTTTTCATTTATTTGAATCACCACGGGCAAAAAATTTAAAAACCGAATAGCAATATCAACAAACCTTTTAGTGTTTATCCAGCTGAGAAATTTCAAACAGTACTGTCATTTCAGGCCACACTAGTACTATATCAGAATTTTTCATTCTTAGAAAAATGGATCTGCAAATGGAAAACTAGGGCTATCACAACAAATTTAGGGCTTTGGGCTCAATCAGTGATATTTAAATAATAAGAATATTCAAGAATTAAATATTTCTGACATCACATCTGTGACAGCAGAAATAAAAAGTTTCTCACCTTAAATCTATAGAACTCATTATTGTGAGAATACACAGTTATATATGAAAAGTTTTCAGATGCTTATCAACTTTTCAAAATTTAGAACACTTCAATATTTGTATAACCATAATTTTAATGTCCAGGCAAATGCCTAATGAGTGATTATTTTTAAAGGATGATGACCTCAACAGCCAAGGAATAGGTTCATGGGATAGAAGGGTTGGCAAACAGCACATCTGTTGGTTATATATTCTGGAGACGTTGCACTTGTCCTTAGTTTTCGTCTGTCAGACTCAAATGTATTGCCTGTAGGATTCTAGCAGAAGGCAGGTGCTGTTTTTGTATTCTTATGTAATATTTTATGCCTTCAGGGAATAAAATAATATAATATGGCATCTCATTGAAATGTATGTGGTATATGTTCCTGAGAGCCTTTTGTACCTGTTGCCTGTTGCATATGATACCTTAGAGATTTTCAGGGAACACACTTGAATACTTGCTTTTATTTTTATTTTTTATAAAAGCTTTGGTAGCCCATTTGGTTTTGACCAACTTTTAAGCTAGTCTAAATTATTTTCTTACCTACGTAACAGATTTTGAAGACTACATTTTAAGCAGATCTTTAGTTTAAATGAATCACTGCTCTGTTCACATTACATGGCACTGCCATTATTTCATAAACTCTTTGAGGGCAGAGGTCTAGGCCTAGCATTTAGTACTGTTTATGGCAAATAGTCATTTACTAAATGAATAAATAGCTTTATTGACCAAATCAATGGAGTTTGCAAATTCAATGCTAGTTGTTATTACATAGTTTATATTGAGAACACATTAAAATATACAATATATAACCTAGATAAATGCCTGGAAGTAAAATTGTAATACATTTTCAATAGAAACTTTAGCTGTTTTCTATTAAAAGTTATAGAGGAATTTTTAAAAATCCCTATAAATTCATTAGCAATTCCTTCTCATGTCTGTGATTTGAATTGTGGCTTTGGCAAAGGCTGCAAAGAGTTCTGTTACAGTATTTCTTCTATATTTTATAAGAAAATAGAAAATAACTTGTTATTCCTTTTATTGCAAATGTGCTACAATCAACCTATGATGTACAATCGTCCTTAACCGGTAGTTACTTAATTGCTGAAATTCTTCATTTTCGAATGAGTGGAACTCTTCCTAGAATATTATCTTTTACCCATCCACAATTATAAATGATCATACATTTTATAGAATTATACTTTGTTTACATTCTGACCTAGGAAAACTGAAATCTGTTTTTCATTGCCATTGGCAAACACAGAGATATTCTTAAAAGAAATTAGACAAGTGCATTCTTGTCAATACTACTTTTAATTACTTTATATTAATTTTCCTTTATTCTTTTTTCAATTAATCTTACTGCATCGATCATACATTCCATGTAGTCTGTATTTATAGTAAAATATCAAAAGAAATCTCAAATTCATTATAGTTAGCTGATCATTTAAGTTTGTTAACATTTTCTAGGTTTACATTTTTAAAATCTTGGCTAACAATCCAGAATGCTGAACTTTTTACGTGCTGTTTACCTAACAACAGATAAATATGTGGGAGAGTGCTTAAATCTGATTGTCTTGCATCTCTGTGAGCTTTAAAATTTCCATAGTTCTCTAATTTATGTCATTTCCCTGCAATATGCTAAATAGAAAATTTTAATATAACCAAATAAAATATTTAGTTATGGGGAAAGCATTTTAGCCATTGAAGGACTGTAATGCTGTGTGCTAATAAAAAAGCAAGAGACAAACAACAGCCTCTTATTGTCTGAAAATCTACTCATAAATCACTGTAGCAAAAAAAAAGATGGAAACTCCAAATTATCATAATGAAATACTGAACCATCACTCCCCTTGCTGTACCTAACAAATGCTACCAAAATACTGTCTATTATCATAAAAAAGAGTAAAGGAGTAATGGTTTTCTGTGCTTTCCTCTTTTTGCCTTCTCTTATTTTAGTCCCCTCAAGGTATCCATGTGCCAGAGCAGAGAACTTTAGTACAAAATAAACAATAGACAAAATAAAACCTAGTGAAATGTGATTTTCATATTCAAATCTGGGTTATAAGACTGGATAAGAGATTTTCAAGCTAGCATACTGGTATGGGACTGAATGTTTCTGTTTCCCCAAAGGTTCATGTGTTAATACTCTCATCCCCAATATAATGGTATGGGCCTTTAGGAGGTGATTAGGTCTTGGGTGGAACCCTCATAAATGGGATTAGTGCCTTTATAAAAAGAAACAAACAGAGCTTGTTTTATCTCTCTCTGCTGTCTGCCATGTGAGAAGACAACCATCTGCAAACCAGGAAACAAGTCCTCACCAGACACCTCCAGATCTTCTGGCACCTTGGTCTTGGAATTCCCAGCCTCCAGAACTGTAAGAAATGAATGTTTGCTGTTTAAGCAGGAGTATATTTTTTATAGCAGCAAAAAATTGACTAAGACAGGTACCATCTAAAGAGATCTCCCTCCCATTTTTTATGTCTCTATCGGAGTTTAAAGAGACTGGTGTCCATGATTAAGGCATCTGACCGAAAGAGAATTTGAATGCAAGAGCAATAGACTGACATTTGTTTTTATTTGGTTCTGTTCCTAATAAACAGAGTGACTGACCTTCATTTTTGGTTTCTTCAAGAATGATGTCATCAAGTGCCAGATGGAACAAGGAAAGACATTGCCCACAACAGAGATTTTTAAAAGGCAGAAAAGCAAAGTGATCACATGTATGTCCCAGTTTTGCTCCATCCAAGATGCCAGAATACTGTTAGATAAGTGTGGGTGATGTGAAGGTTGAGGGCTTGGTTTCCTACTCAGTTTTAAGGACTCAAAGGATATGATCTCAAAGCCACACCCTGTATCAGCTTCAGGTGTGAGATTACCACCACAATGGTGCATTGTTGATAACAGCAGGAGACTTTGAGGCTTAGCAGTGCCCTGCCTCTTTTCATTCCTCAGGTCTTAGACAAAGAGTTGTAGATATTTTGGCAAATAGTATTCCAAGTAAGTCTGCAATGTTGGTATGAAATGGCTCTGTGCCTGCAACAGACCATGTGAGCTGGGAGACATAAGTCACAGCCAGGTTCCAGGACCCTATAGCACCAGCAACAGCTGGTGTCTAGGAAAGTCACCTGGCTTTCATTGTCAAAGAACATAACCAGATCAGAATTACAGCAGCTACAGAATCAGTCACAAGGAGCAACTGAGGTGGACCAGGGATTGCTGGAGGAGATGGGAAGACAGAGGTCCCTGATTCTCTTGTTGCGAAGAGGATGAATAAACTTCCTCTACTTCCTACCTCCATTTTCCATTTAGAGGAGACAAGCAGGGCAGAGTGAGGCTATGTAAGAAAGACACTAAGCAGTGGAAAATTTATTTTCTGTATCAGACTGAACAATGTCTTTTAGAAGTTTTTCAATTACAAGATTGAGCCACATTTGAAACATAGGATTAAAAGTTTTATTTTGTTTTTCTAGTAAATCATGGCAAAAACTTCTGAAGATGATCAAATTAGCTACATATACTTAAAATATTATTTTGCCTGCATCTCTGAATTGTTGTTTGAAGTTTATACCACTGCTTTGCATTAAAAGACTAAACTGCATGTTTTTATTGAAAAACAAAATCTTGTAGTTTAGTCATATTTGTCACAAATATTATCTGCATATAAAGTGTCAGATGCTCCTTTCCAGAAAAAAATTTTTCTTGATAGAGCAAGGCTCTAGAGTTTTAACCAGTTCTCATCCTTAGCAAGCACTAAATAAAGGTTTTAAATCTACAAGGTTTTCATAGAAGCCATACCGCTTGTCTATTTACATGCACAACTTCTCTCACTGCTGATTTTTTAGATGCACCTGCTCACTTACACTCATTGAGATCTCAGAGGTTGAGAGTAGATCCTTCTCTAGATGGGTACTGCAACTAGGTTTCCAACTGTATTGCAACTAGCTTCACAACTATATTGCTTTACTTTTTTAAATATAATTTAAGTTTTAGGGTACATGTGCACAACGTGCGGGTTTGTTACATATGTATACATATGCCATGTTGGTGTGCTGAACCAATTAACTCATCATTTAACATTAAGTATATCTCCTAATGCTATCCCTCCCCCTCCCCCCACCCCACAACAAGCCCCAGTGTGTGATGTTCCCCTTCCTGTGTCCATGTGTTCTCATTATTCAATTCCCACCTAGGAGTGAGAACATGCAGTGTTTGGTTTTTTGTCCTTGCCATAGTTTGCTGAGAATGATGGTTTCCAGCTTCATGCATGTCCCTACAAAGGACATGAACTCATCATTTTTATGGCTGCATAGTATTCCATGGTGTATATGTGCCACATTTTCTTAATCCAGTCTATCATTGTTGGACATTTGGGTTGGTTCCAAGTCTTTGCTATTGTGAATACTGTGGCAATAAACATACTTGTTCATGTGTCTTTATAGCAGCGTGATTTATAATCCTTTGGGTATATACCCAGTAATGGGATGGCTGGGTCAAATGGTATTTCTAGTTCTAGATCCCTGAGGAATTGCCACACTGACTTCCACAATGGTTGAACTAGTTTACAGTCCCACCAACAGTGTAAAAGTGTTCCTATTTCTCCACATCCTCTCCAGCACTTGTTGATTCCTGACTTTTTAATGATCGCCATTCTAACTGGTGTGAGATGGTATCTCATTGTGGTTTTGATTTGCATTTCTCTGAAGGCCAGTGATGATGAGCGTTATTTCACGTGTCTTTTGGCTGCATAAATGTCTTCTTTTGAGAAGTGTCTGTTCATATACTTTGCCCACTTTTTGATGGGGTTGTTTGTTTTTTTCTTGTAAATCTGTTTGGGTTCATTGTAGATTCTGGATATTAGCCCTTTGTCAGATGAGTAGGTTGCAAAAATTTTCTCCCATTCTGTAGGTTGTCTGTTCACTCTGATGGTAGTTTCTTTTGCTGTGCAGAAGCTCTTTACTTTAATTAGATCCCATTTGTCAATTTTGGCTTTTGTTGCCATTGCTTTTGGTGTTATAGACATGAAGTCCTTGCACATGCCTATGTCCTGAATGGTATTGCCTAGGTTTTCTTCTAGGGTTTTTATGTTAGGTCTTAAATGTTAGGTCTAACATTTAAGTCTTTAATACATCTTGAATTAATTTTTGTATAAGGTGTAAGGAAGGGATCCAGTTTCAGCTTTCTACATATGGCTAGCCAGTTTTCCCAGCACCATTTATTAAACAGGGAATCCTTTCCCCATTTCTTGTTTTTGTCAGGTTTGTCAAAGATCAGATAGTTGTAGATATGTGGCATTATTTCTGAGGGCTCTGTTCTGTTCCATTGGTCTGTATCTCTGTTTTGGTACCAGTACCATGCTGTTTTGGTGACTGTAGACTTGTAGTACAGTTTGAAGTCAGGTAGCGATATGCCTCCAGCTTTGTTCTTTTGGCTTAGGATTAACTGGCAATGCAGGCTTTTTTTGGTTCCATATGAACTTTAAAGTAGTTTTTTCCAATTCTGTGAAGAAATCATTGGTAACTTGATGGGGATGGCATTGAATCTGTAAATTACCTTGGGCAGTATGGCCATTTTCATGATAGTGATTCTTCCTACCCATGAGCATGGAATGTTTTTCCATTTGTTTGTATCCTCTTTTATTTCATTGAGCAGTGGTTTGTAGTTCTCCTTGAAGAAGTCCTTCGCATCCCTTGTAAATTGGATTCCTAGGTATTTTATTCTCTTTGAAGCAATTATGAATGGGAGTTCACTCATGATTTGGCTCTCTGTTTGTCTGTTATTGGTGTATAAGAATGCTTGTGATTTTTGCACATTGATTTTGTATCCTGAGACTTTGCTGAAGTTGCTTATCAGCTTAAGGAGATTTTGGACTGAGACAATGGGGTTTTCTAGATATACAATCATGTCGTCTGCAAACAGGGACAATTTGACTTCCTCTTTTCCTAATTGAATACCCTTTATTTCCTTCTCTTGCCTGATTGCCCTGGCCAGAACTTCCAACACTATGTTGAATAGGAGTGGTGAGAGAGGGCACCCCTGTCTTGTGCCAGTTTTCAAGGGAATGCTTCCAGTTTTTGCCCATTCAGTATGATATTGGCTGTGGGTTTGTCATTAATAGCTCTTATTATTTTGAGATACGTCCCATTCATACCTAATTTATTGAGAGTTTTTAGCATGAAGGGCTGTTGAATTTTGTCAAAGGCCTTTTCTTCATCTATTGTGATAATCATGTGTTTTTTGTCTTTGGTTCTGTTTATATGCTGGATTATGTTTATTGATTTGCGTATGTTGAACCAGCCTTGCATGCCAGGGATGAAGCCCACTTGATCATAGTGGATAAGCTTTTTGGTGTGCTGCTGGATTCGGTTTGCCAGTATTTTATTGAGGATTTTTGCATCAATGTTCATCAGGGATATTGGTCTAAAATCTTTTTTGTGTTGTCTGCCCGGCTTTGTTATCAGGATGATGCTAGCCTCATAAAATGAGTTAGGGAGGATTCCCTCTTTTTCTATTGATTGGAATATTTTCAGAAGAAATCGTACCAGCTCCTCCTTGTACCTCTGGTCGAATTCAGCTGTGAATCCATTTGGTCCTGGACTTTTTTTGGTTGGTAAGCTATTAATTATTGCCTCAATTTCAGAGCCTGTTATTGGTCTATTCAGAGATTCAACTTCTTCCTGGTTTAGTCTTGGGAGGGTGTGTGTGTCGAGGAATTTATCCATTTCTTCCAGATTTTCTAGTTTATTTGTGTAGAGGTGTATATAGTATTCTGTGATGGTAGTTTGTATTTCTGTGGCATCGGTGGTGATATCCCCTTTATCATTTTTTATTGCATCTGTTTGATTCTTCTCTCTTTTCTTCATTAGTCTTGCTAGCAGTCTATCAATTTCATTGATCTTTTCAAAAAATGAGCTCCTAGGGCCAAACAGGGACAGCTCCAGTCTACAGCTCCCAGCATGAACAACACATAAGACGAATGATTTCTGCATTTCCAACTGAGGTACCGGGTGCATCTCACTGGGGATTGTCAGACAGTGGGTGCAGGACAGTGGGTGCAATGCACCGAGCCTGAGCCAAAGAAGAGTGAGACATCGCCTCATCTGGAAGTTCAAGGGATCGGGGACTTCCCTTCCCTACCCAAGGAAAGGGGTGATGGACAGCACCTGGAAAATCAGGTCACTCCCACCCTAATGCTGTGCTTTTCCGATGATCTTAGCAAATGGCACACCAGGAGATTATATCCTGTGCCTGGCTTGGAGTGTCCTATGCCCGTGGAGTCTCGCTCTTTGGTAGCACAGCAGTCTGAGATCAAACTGCAAGGCAGCAGCGAGGCTGGGGGAGGGACGCCTGCCATTGCTGAGGCTTGAGTAGCTAAACAAAGTGGCCAGGAAGGTCAAACTGGGTGGACCCCACCACAGCTCAAGGAGGCCTGCTGGCCTCTGTAGACTCCACCTCTGGGGACAGGGCATGGCCAAACGAAAAGCAGCAGAAACCTCTGCAGACTTAAATGTCCCTGTCTGACAGCTTTGAAGAGAGTAGTGGTTCTCCCAGGATGCAGCTGGAGATCTGAGAACGGACAGACTGCCTCCTCAAGTGGGTCCCTGACCCCTGAGAAGCCTAACTGGGAGGCACACCCCAGTAGGGGCAGACTGATACCTCACATGGCCGGTACTCCTCTGTGACAAAACTTCCAGAGGAAAGAACAAGCAGCAACATTCGATGTTCACCAATATCCACTTGCAGCCTCTGATGCTGATACACAGGCAAACAGGGTCTGGAGAGGACCTCCAGCAGCTCCAACAGACCTGCCTCTGAGGGTCCTGACTGTTAGAAGGAAAACTAACAAACAGAAAGGACATCCACACCAAAACCGCATCTGTACATCACCAACATCAAAGACCAAAAGTAGATAAAACCACAAAGATGGGAAAAAAAAACAGAGCAGAAAAACTGGAAACTCTAAAAATCAGAGCACCTCTCCTCCTCCAAAGGAACGCAGCTCCTCACCAGCAATGGAACAAAGCTGGATGGAGAATGACTTTGATGAGTTGAGAGAAGAAGGCTTCAGACAATCAAACTACTCCAAGCTAAAGGAGGAAGTTCGAACCCACGGCAAAGAAGTTAAAAACCTTGAAAAAAGATTAGATGAATGGCTAACTAGAATAACCAATGCAGAGAAGTCCTTAAAGACCTGACGGAGCTGAAAACCATGGCATGAAAAATACGTGACAAATGCACAAGCCTCAGTAGAAAGGGTATCAGTGATGGAAGATCAAATGAATTGAATGAAGTGAGAAGAGAAGTTTAGAGAAAAAAGAATAAAAAGAAATGAACAGAGCCTCCAGGAAATATGGGACTATGTGAAAAGACCAAATCTACGTCTGAGTGGTGTACCTGAAAGTGAGAGGGAGAATGGAACCAAGTTGGAAAACACTCTGCAGGGTATTATCTAGGAGAACTTCCCCAATCTAGCAAGGCAGGCCAACATTCAAATTCAGGAAATACAGAGAACGCCACAAAGATACTCCACCAGAAGAGCAACTCCAAGACACATAACTGTCAGAGTCACCAAAGTTGAAATGAAGGAAAAAATGTTAAGGGCAGCCAGAGAGAAAGGTCGGGTTACCCACAAAGGGAAGCCCATCAGACTAACAGCTGATCTCTTGGCGGAAACTCTAAAAGCCAGAAGAGAGTGGGGGCCAATATTCAACATTCTCAAAGAAAAGAATTTTCAACCCAGAATTTCATATCCAGCCAAACTAAGCTTCATGAGTGAAGGAGAAATAAAATCCTTTACAGACAAACAAATGCTGAGAGATTTTGTTACCACCAGGCCTGCCCTACAAGAGCTCCTGAAGGAAGCACTAAACATGGAAAGGAACAACCACTACCAGCCACTGCAAAAACATGCCAAATTGTAAAGACCATTGAGGCTAGGAAGAAACTGCATCAACTAACAAGCAAAATAACCAGCTAACATCATAATGACAGGATCAAATTCACACATAACAATATTCACCTTAAATGTAAATGGGCTAAATGCTCCAATTAAAAGACACAGACTGGCAAATTGGATAAAGAGTCAAGACCCATCAGTGTGCTGTATTCAGGAAACCCATCTCACATGCAGGGACACACAGAGGCTCAAAATAAAGGGATGGAGGAAGATCTCCCAAGCAAATGGAAAACAAAAAAAGGCAGGGGTTGCAATCCTAGTCTCTGATAAAACAGACTTTAAACCAACAAAGATCAAAAGAGACAAAGAAGGCCATTACATAATTGTAAAGGGATCAATTCAACAAGAAGAGCTAACTATCCTAAATATATATGCACCCAATAGAAGAGCACCCAGATTCATAAAGCAAGTCCTTGGAGACCTACAAAGAGACTTAGACTCCCACACAATAATAATGGGAGACTTCAATACCCCACTGTCAACATTAGACAGATCCATGAGACAGAAAGTTAACAAGGATATCCAGGAACTGAACTCAGCTCTCCAGCAAGCGGACCTAATAGACATCTACAGAACTCTCCACCCCAAATCAACAGAATATACATTATTTTCTGCACCACACCTATTCCAAAATTGGTCACATAGTTTGAAGTAAAGCACTCCTCAGCAAATGTAAAACAATAGAAATTATAACAAACTGTCTCTCAGACCACAGTGCAATCAAACTAGAACTCAGGATTAAGAAACTCACTCAAAACCACTCAACTACATGGAAACTGAACAACCTGCTCCTAAATGACTACTGGGTAGATAACGAAATGAAGGCAGAAATAAAGATGTTCTTTGAAACCAATGAGAACAAAGACACAACATACCAGAATCTCTGGGACACATTCAAAGCAGTGTGTAGAGGCCAATTTATAGCACTAAATGCCCACAAGAGAAAGCAGGAAAGATCTAAAATTGACACCCTAACATCATAATTAAAAGAACTAGAGAAGCAAGAGCAAACACATTCAAAAGCTAGCAGAAAGCAATAAATAACTAAGATCAGAGCAGAACTGAGGGAAATAGAGATACAAAAAACCCTTCAAAAAATCAATGAATCCAGGAGCTGTTTTTTGTTTGTTTGTTTGTTTGTTTTTTATTATACTTTAAGTTTTAGGGTACATGTGCACAACGTGCAGGTTTGTTACATATGTATTTATATATGTGCCATGTTGGTGTGCTGCACCATTAACTCATCATTTAACATTAGGCGTATCTCCTAATGTTATCCCTCCCCCCTCCCCCATGCCACAACAGGCCCTGGTGTGTGATGTTCCACTTCCTGTGTCCGTGTGTTCTCATTGTTCAATTCCCACCTATGAGTGAGAACATGCAGTGTTTGGTTTTTTGTCCTTGCCATAGTTTGCTGAGAATGATGGTTTCCAGCTTCATCCATGTCCCTAAAAAGGACATGAGCTCATCAGTTTTTATGGCTGCATAGTATTCCATGGTGTATATGTGCCACATTTTCTTAATCCAGTCTATCATTGTTGGACATTTGGGTTGGTTCCAAGTCTTTGGTATTGTGAATAGTGCCACAATAAACATAGGTGTGCGTGTGTCTTTATAGCAGCATGTTTTATAATCCTTTGGGTATATACCCAGTAATGGGATGGCTGGGTCAAATGGTATTTCTAGTTCTAGATCCCTGAGGAATTGCCACACTGACTTCCACAATGGTTGAACTAGTTTACAGTCCCACCAACAGTGTAAAATTATTCCTATTTCTCCACATCCTCTCCAGCACCTGTTGTTTCCTGACTTTTTAATGAGCGCCATTCCAACTGGTGTGAGATGGTATCTCATTGTGGTTTTGATTTGCAATTCTCTGATGGCCAATGATGATGAATGTTTTTTCATGTGTCTTTTGGATGCATAAATGTCTTCTTTTGAGAAGTGTCTGTTCATATCCTTTGCCCAATTTTTGATGGGTTTTTTTTTTCTTATAAATTTGTTTGAGTTCATTGTAGATTCTGGATATTAGCCCTTTGTCAGATGAGTAGATTGCAAAAATTTGTTTGCCTACTCAAGCCTAGGCAATGGCGGGAACCCCTCCCCCAGCCTCGCTGCCACCTTGCAGTTTGATCTCAGACTGCTGTGCTAGCAATGAGAGAGGCTCTGTGGGCATAGGATCCTCCAAGCTAGGCACAGGATGTAGTCTCCTGGTGTGCTGTTTGCTAAGACCATTGGAAAAGCGCAGTATTAGGGTGGGAGTGACCCAATTTTCCAGGTGCCGTCTGTCACCCCTTTCTTTGACTAGGAAAGGGAATTCCCTGACCCCTTGTGCTTCCCGGGTGAGGTGATGCCTCACCCTGCTTCAGCTCATGCTCGGTGCACTGCACCCACTGTCCTGCACCCACTGTCTGACACTCCCCAGTGAGACGAACCCGGTGCCTCAGTTGGAAATGCAGAAATCAGCCATCTTCTGCATCGCTCACACTGGGAACTATGGACTGGAGCTGTTCCTATTTGGCCATCTTGGCTCCACCTCGCCAATGTTGTTGTATTGCTTTTCTAAACACTACTCAGAGACCTATCTTCTCGTGTATAACACACACACACACACACACACACACACATGCATAGTCTATTCCTAAATTTGTGTAAATTATTATAAAACATAGTTATATTTTAGAGATAAACCCTTTAAACATTAGAGGAAAAATATCATGTAATTTGAAAAAATAATATAAAGATTAATTTAGAAAAAAAATGGATTTACACTAAAATATTATGAAAGCAATTTTATTAATTGAAAAGTGTGCTTTTCTATAGAATAGATTTTTTTGCAATTTTTATAAAGGAAAAATATAAGGTTTAGCTCTTAAATCCATTTGAAACGCAGTTTTGATGGCTTTCTTGTTTTCTGCTGTGACACATAGCATGCTCACTGTGGGCATTTCCTAACTCAGATTTGGCATCACACAACTCTTTAAGGATTATGATTCTTATTAGGAAAAATTTTGCCTAGATGGACTTTTCAGTGGTCTGAGCTACAAGATATGCATATTTTTAGAGAAAATATGTTATGAGTTCTTAGTAATACTTCTAATTCAAATTAAGGACCAGAAAGATGTTATTAAACTCATCCATCTTACAATTATATACTCCCTTTTCTAGTTCTCAATGACACTGACACAATTATTTATTCAGTTTGTCCCACAGCACACGCACACACACACACACACAGACGCACACAGAGTAGACAGACTTAAAATAAAACTAACATCGCCACCAGAAAAAACAAACTACAGAGAGTAGTTTAATATTTTTTGAAGTTCTTTTTCTTGTTAGGGCATAGCTACAGTCAAATCCCTGTGTTTTAAAGTCACTGTGCAAGTATGCCACTAACTTGATATGCAATTTGATTCATTTGTTTCACTTTGCTTTTAATATTTAAATAGATTTTTAAAAATATAATTTTTATGTGTTTAAGGTTCCAAGTCAAATTGACATACATAGTATATGCAGAGAATTCCAGCTTCTATTTGCTTTCTTTCCTGTTTCTCCATATGTACCACGCACCTCCCCCAACAACTGTAGGTAACTCTTTATGTTAATGGATTTTGTCCCATATATTTCTGAAAAATATATATTTTGGGATAATTTCAATTTAAAAAATGTTTAGGAACTGCCTGCCACTCACCCAGAGAGCTCTATTCATGGTGTGTCAGTAACTTGCTCAGGGTCATACTGCTAAGTGGGAGAACCAGGAAATGACCTGGCAGTGTTGGTTGCAAGACTCTCCTCAATACACTCTACTATAATGCTTTACAAGTTATAAATTAATAAATTATTGTTTGCCAAATATTATTCTAGTTTCTTGTGTCCTTCAAAACAATATCTTATTTTATCTGAAAAATACTTTCATGCAGTGACTTCAGAAATAAATTTTTAAAGATAAAATGTAACATTTCAGCTTACTAAATGAATTTTTATAGCTGAAGATCAGATATTATTTTAAGGTTTTATTTATTTTTAAACTTTTCATTTTAATTTTTGTAGGTACATAGTAGGTGTATATATTTATGGGTTACATGAGATGTTTCAATACAGTGATTCAATGCATAATTTTGCTTCATAATCTTCATAGAGGTTCTAAGTGGCAAGAAATTTGGATTCACTTTTGAGGTAGTACCCAATCTTTGTAGGTAACCCTTTTATTTTTTGATAAGTTATAAAATAAATTGGCTGTAACTCAAAATGGAGAGAATGACTATGGATAAGTAAAAAGAAAGTAGATGAAGTGACTACTGTGGCCTGGCTCAGATTCATCCCCTCTGTTACTATAGTAAGCATTAATATTCTCCCTATTAAAGACTTGGATGGTTAAACACTGTGATAAAATTGTATTCTTTACAAAATACATTAATCTTAATGATCAAATCTGCCTATAGTGACAAAGCTTTTGGATAACTGCCTATCTTTATTTTGCCTAATAACAAACAACTGCGGTTACTATCATCTTTCCTAGATGCTATGGTATGTAAGAATACACCTTTTGAAGCAGAAAATAAAAAGTATGTGGCATAAGTTGTCATATATTTGTATTCTGAATGAAGATATGCTTTAAGACAGCAAGGTATTAGAATAAATAACACCAAAGCATCTTTTAGATATTCAAACTGGGTTTGGTTCATTGACTACTCAAGGGCAAGGAAGAAAGGATGACAGACATTTATAAATATATGCCTTAAAGGTAGAATGTCAGTTAATTGAGCCCTCCTATTTAACTTTGTAACTTTTAATGCTTAAAAACCCATTTTTACTGGAATTTTTTAATATTGAAAATATGGTCATGTTTTAAAACAATATAAACATTTCTGTGAAAAAGGAACAAAAGAAAACCTGCAGCAGGAATCAAAAAGTACCTGGACCTGGGGCATAAATGGCCATCGATTATCAAGATTCTATTCCTATTTTGTTAACAGGGACAAAAGCTCCTCTGATATGGTGGGAGACACCCCACCATAAAGCCACACTCAGCTCCTGAAACCAGGACTTGAGGAGCTTCGGTACTCAGGCTGGTAGGATAAAACAAACTGAACCACTACAGAGTGTCGTGGCCCCCATTGATCTACTTCTAGGGCTGGCATGAGGAAACAGAAACAGGGTGCCACATAACAGAATCTGGGCAAGGCCATATCAGGGTTCTTGAGGGAACCTGCCTTATTTTATAGATGAATACCCTCAAGGTACCAATATTAGACCTAGATCTGAACTGGGGACCATGTTAGGCTAGATGAAGAATTGTCAAACCAAGAAACTGGAAAGCTCATGCATAGGGAGAGAGAAAAAAGCACATCCATGTCTACGTTCACAGAAACATTTAAAACAGAAGCACACTACTGGAGATAACTGTTCAAACTAAAGTTCCAGAGTGAGTAGAGGAATGTTAGTTTTGTGAAGGATAGGCAATAAATAAATAAAGACAAAGGTTAGGCAGTAAAGCCATAGAATAGTTGTTTTACTGGACTTAGTTAAAGAAATAAATAGTTAATAGGAAGGTTGTATTGAGACACCAAAACAAAAATCTGTACAGAAAATGTAGAAAATAAGAGAATGCTAAAAGAATGAAGCTAGCACTAGAATATCAATATCTAATGAAGTAGAATTTAAAATGGAAAACATTTATGCTGAAAAAGGTACTATATAATGAAAAAAGTAAAAAGTAGAAAAATACTCCTAAGAAGGTCACTGATCAGAGGCACCCAGCACTCACCGCCTCAACAAAGAATGCTAAAACAACAAATAGATAACCAAATGTGAAACAGAACATCCCTTCCACAGAGTCATCGAGGTGGGGTGGCTGCTAGCCGCTCTGAGCTCATTCCAGGCCCCTAGGTCTTGGGGTCACTCCCATTCTGACTGCAATCACCAGAACACAAGGAGGACCCAATGCCCAGTGCTCAGTCCAGGACACACTCCAGCCAAACACCAGCCCACGACCCAACTCCCCAGACTTGGTCTGACCCTTCCAGCCCTGAGGTCCAAGTGCCTTGCATCCCAGTCCCCCAAGCCTCACCCAGGCCCTCTTTCCCTCCACTCACCCCTCCTGCTGTCCATCCACAGCCCCCGTCCCTGCAGAGTCAAGGCACAGGGAAGTGCTCTGAGGCAAGGCCATAGGATTGTTTGGGGCTTCAGGCCCCTGGAGTGCATAGAGGGGCTCCCAAAGCCAGAGAAGGGGTTTCCTGCAGGGACAGCAGCTGCTGACCCTATCCCTGTGGCCTCCTCCAGCCTCTGGCTTCAGTGGTCCTACTTCATTTCCTTTCGGTTTCTTAGTAAAGTTCCTTTTCACACACACACAAGCCCCCTGCTGCCAAAAAGAAAAAGAAAAGAAAAGAGAAGAGAAGAGAAGAGAAGAGAAGAGAAGAGAAGAGAAGAGAAGAGAAAGAAAAGAACACTGGAATTGAGCAAGAAAGTGACATAGACCCTCTGAGGCATGGAAACTTGAGATGGCAGCATGGAGAGAGAAGGAAGGCAGCCAGCAGGGATCAGCTCAGAGAAAAGAGGGGTCCCCATTGTGGGGCAGGGGTAAGCAAAAGATCCCCAGCAGTTCACATTGCCATCCCAGATACTTGTGATTCTGACCACAGAAGAACCACTCAGTCCTCATATGCCCTTAGCTTATCACAGGGAGCTGCTAGACTTCATTGGCTGCATTGTGCCAGGCAGAGAATCCATGCTGGGTCCCCCTCAACCTCTGAAGACTCAGACTGCTGCAGCATGGTGCCATTTCTGAGAATGCAGCCACAGTCAAACTATACCCTACCCTCAGGACAATAGCCCTTGCATCTCTACATCTTTGAAGCCCCATTGACATCCTCTGGCATCTACCAAGAGGGTTGCAGTGTTGTAATACCAGCTAGACCCATAGTGCAGTCATGTCTCTGTCGCTCAAGCTCAGGTAGCGCCCTATGCCCCAGGAAATGGACAGTCCAGCACATCAGAGAGGCTTCTCCCAGGACACAGAGAGACAAAATGATACCCAGATTACTGCTATTGACCCCATCCTTTGCAGAGGTGGAACCACTGCATGCCAGTGTGTACTAGCCAGGGACTCAAGGATCAGTTCTCAATGGGGCCTGCTGCCATCATGATTGGTTTGCATGTGCCACCCTGGGGCCTGAAAAACAGTACACCTGAGACCCACTGTTCACTTCAGTGATGGGGCTGTCGTGCAACCGCATGTGCTTCCTAAGGGCCGAAAGACTGGCCTGCTCAGAATCCTCATGCAAGGAAGACCACCCCACAGCCTCCACAAACAATTGCAGTCTAAGCCACTGGGGAACTTGCAGGCAACACTGATGTTGACAACAGCCAAAAAATAAAATAAAAAAAAAACCCTCATATTGAGAATGCACGACTGTGCCTACCTTGAACCAAAGCCAAAGCACCCTACCCAACTGACACTCTAGATATATCTGCAGGAAAATGTCTTTCCATATAAAAGCTACTTCATAAAATTAAAAGAAGTGACTTTTAATTTGCAGATATCAAAGCAGGGACACAGAAACATGATAAAGCAAGGAAATGTGACACATCCAAAGGAACACAAAAATTCTCCAGTAACAGAACCCCCAAAGAAGGAAATAAATAAAATGACTGAAATTGAATTAAAAGTAATAATATTAAGGAAACTCAGTGAGATACAAGAGAACACATATAAACAATATAAAGAAATCAGGAAAACAGGTCATCCTCTGAATTAGAAATTCAGTATAGTCCTTGTTGGACTCAACTAGACATTTACTTTCTTTTAAGTTCTGGGATACATGTGTAGCATGTACAGGTTTGTTACACAGGTAAACGTGTGCCATCGTGGTTTGCTGCACCTATCAACCCATCACTTAGGTATTAAGCGTCACCTGCATTAGCTATTGATTCTGATGCTCTCTCTCCTCCTGCAATCCCCCCACTCTGACAGGGCCCAGTATGTGTTGTTCCCCTCCCTGTGTATATGTGTTCTCCTTGTTCAGCTTCCACTTATCAGTGAGAACATGTGATGTTTGGTTTTCTGTTCCTGCGTTAGTTTGATGAGGATAAGGGCTTTGAGCTCCATCCATGTCCCTGCAAAGTACACGATCTCATTCCTTTTTATGGCAGCATAGTATTCAATGGTGTATATGTACCACATTTTCTTTATTCAGTCTATCATTGATGGGCATTTGTGTTGATTCCATGTCTTTGCTATTATGAATACTGCTGCAATGAATATACACGTGCATGAATCTTTATAATATAATGATGTATATTCCTTTGGGTATATAGCCAGTAATGAGATTGATGGGTCAAATGGTATTTCTGGTTCTAGGTCTTTGAGGAATTGCTACACTGTCTTCCACAATAGTTGTACTAATTTACATTCCCACCAACAGTGTAAAAGCATTTCTACGGGACTTGAGGAGCCAAGATGGCCGAATAGGAACAGCTCCGGTCTACAGCTCCCAGCGTGAGCGACGCAGAAGACGGGTGATTTCTGCATTTCCATCTGAGGTACCGGGTTCATCTCACTAGGGAGTGCCAGACAGTGGGCGCAGGCCAGTGTGTGCACGCACCGTGCATGAGCCGAAGCAGGGCGAGGCATTGCCTCACCTGGGAAGCGCAAGGGGTCAGGGAGTTCCCTTTCCGAGTCAAAGAAAGGGGTGACAGACGCACCTGGGAAATCGGGTCACTCCCACCCGAATATTGCGCTTTTCAGACCGGCTTAAAAAACGGCGCACCACGAGACTATATCCCACACCTGGCTCAGAGGGTCCTACGCCCACGGAATCTCGCTGATTGCTAGCACAGCAGTCTGAGAACAAACTGCAAGGTGGCAACGAGGCTGGGGGAGGGGCGCCCGCCATTGCCCAGGCTTGCTTAGGTAAACAAAGCAGCCAGGAAGCTCGAACTGGGTGGAGCCCACCACAGTTCAAGGAGGCCTGCCTGCCACTGTAGGCTCCACCTCTGGGGGCAGGGCACAGACAAACAAAAAGACAGCAGTAACCTCTGCAGACTTAAATGTCCCTGTCTGACAGCTTTGAAGAGAGCAGTGGTTCTCCCAGCACGCAGCTGGAGATATGAGAACGGGCAGACTGCCTCCTCAAGTGGGTCCCTGACCCCTGACCCCCGAGCAGCCTAACTGGGAGGCACCCCCCAGCAGGGGAACACTGACACCTCACACGGCAGGGTATTCCAACAGACCTGCAGCTGAGGGTCCTGTCTGTTAGAAGGAAAACTAACAACCAGAAAGGACATCCACACCGAAAACCCATCTGTACATCACCATCATCAAAGACCAAAAGTAGATAAAACCACAAAGATGGGGAAAAACCAGAACAGAAAAACTGGAAACTCTAAAACGCAGAGTGCCTCTCCTCCTCCAAAGGAACGCAGTTCCTCACCAGCAACGGAACAAAGCTGGATGGAGAATGATTTTGACGAGCTGAGAGAAGAAGGCTTCAGACGATCAAATTACTCTGAGCTACGGGAGGACATTCAAACCAAAGGCAAAGAAGTTGAAAACTTTGAAAAAAATTTAGAAGAATGTATAACTAGAATAACCAATACAGAGAAGTGCTTAAAGGAGCTGATGGAGCTGAAAACCAAGGCTCGAGAACTACGTGAAGAATGCAGAAGCCTCAGGAGCCGATGCGATCAACTGGAAGAAAGGGTATCAGCAATGGAAGATGAAATGAATGAAATGAAGCGAGAAGGGAAGTTTAGAGAAAAAAGAATAAAAAGAAAATGAGCAAAGCCTCCAAGAAATATGGGACTATGTGAAAAGACCAAATCTACGTCTGATTGGTGTACCTGAAAGTGATGTGGAGAATGGAACCAAGTTGGAAAACACTGCAGGATATTATCCAGGAGAACTTCCCCAATCTAGCAAGGCAGGCCAACGTTCAGATTCAGGAAATACAGAAAACGCCACAAAGATACTCCTCGGGAAGAGCAACTCCAAGACACATAATTGTCAGATTCACCAAAGTTGAAATGAAGGAAAAAATGTTAAGGGCAGCCAGAGAGAAAGGTCGGGTTACCCTCAAAGGAAAGCCCATCAGACTAACAGCGGATCTCTCGGCAGAAACCCTACAAGCCAGAAGAGAGTGTGGGCCAATATTCAACATTCTTAAAGAAAAGAATTTTCAACCCAGAATTTCATATCCAGCCAAACTAAGCTTCATAAGTGAAGGAGAAATAAAATACTTTATAGACAAGCAAATGCTGAGAGATTTTGTCACCACCAGGCCTGCCCTAAAAGAGCTCCTGAAGGAAGCGCTAAACATGGAAAGGAACAACCGGTACCAGCCGCTGCAAAATCATGCCAAAATGTAAAGACCATCGAGACTAGGAATAAACTGCATCAACTAACGAGCAAAATCACCAGCTAACATCATAATGACAGGATCAAATTCACACATAACAATATTAACTTTAAATATAAATGGACTAAATTCTGCAATTAAAAGACACAGACTGGCAAGTTGGATAAAGAGTCAAGACCCATCAGTGTGCTGTATTCAGGAAACCCATCTCACGTGCAGAGACACACATAGGCTCAAAATAAAAGGATGGAGGAAGATCTACCAAGCCAATGGAAAACAAAAAAAGGCAGGGGTTGCAATCCTAGTCTCTGATAAAACAGACTTTAAACCAACAAAGATCAAAAGAGACAAAGAAGGCCATTACATAATGGTAAAGGGATCAATTCAACAAGAGGAGCTAACTATCCTAAATATTTATGCACCCAATACAGGAGCACCCAGATTCATAAAGCAAGTCCTGAGTGACCTACAAAGAGACTTAGACTCCCACACATTAATAATGGGAGACTTTAACACCCCACTGTCAACATTAGACAGATCCATGAGACAGAAAGTCAACAAGGATACCCAGGAATTGAACTCAGCTCTGCACCAAGCGGACCTAATAGACATCTACAGAACTCTCCACCCCAAATCAACAGAATATACATTTTTTTCAGCACCACACCACACCTATTCCAAAATTGACCACATAGTTGGAAGTAAAGCTCTCCTCAGCAAATGTAAAAGAACAGAAATTATAACAAACTATCTCTCAGACCACAGTGCAATCAAACTAGAACTCAGGATTAAGAATCTCACTCAAAGCCGCTCAACTACATGGAAACTGAACAACCTGCTCCTGAATGACTACTGGGTACATAACGAAATGAAGGCAGAAATAAAGATGTTCTTTGAAACCAAAGAGAACAAAGACACCACATACCAGAATCCCTGGGACGCATTCAAAGCAGTGTGTAGAGGGAAATTTATAGCACTAAATGCCCACAAGAGAAAGCAGGAAAGATCCAAAATTGACACCCTAACATCACAATTAAAAGAACTAGAAAAGCAAGAGCAAACACATTCAAAAGCTAGCAGAAGGCAAGAAATAACTAAAATCAGAGCAGAACTGAAGGAAATAGAGACACAAAAAACCCTTCAAAAAATCAATGAATCCAGGAGCTGGTTTTTTGAAAGGATCAACAAAATTGATAGACCGCTAGCAGACTAATAAAGAAAAAAAGAGAGAAGAATCAAATAGACACAATAAAAAATGATAAAGGGGATATCACCACCGATCCCACAGAAATACAAACTACCATCAGAGAATACTACAAACACCTCTACACAAATAAACTAGAAAATCTAGAAGAAATGGATAAATTCCTCAACACATACACTCTCCCAAGACTAAACCAGGAAGAAGTTGAATCTCTGAATAGACCAATAACAGGCTCTGAAATTGTGGCAATAATCAATAGTTTACCAACCAAAAAGAGTCCAGGACCAGATGGATTCACAGCCGAATTCTACCAGAGGTACAAGGAGGAACTGGTACCATTCCTTCTGAAACTATTCCAATCAATAGAAAAAGAGGGAATCCTCCCTAACTCATTTTATGAGGCCAGCATCATTCTGATACCAAAGCCGGGCAGAGACACAACCAAAAAAGAGAATTTTAGACCAATATCCTTGATGAACATTGATGCAAAAATCCTCAATAAATACTGGCAAACCGAATCCAGCAGCACATCAAAAAGCTTATCCACCATGATCAAGTGGGCTTCATCCCTGGGATGCAAGGCTGGTTCAATATACGCAAATCAGTAAATGTAATCCAGCATATAAACAGAGCCAAATACAAAAACCACATGATTATCTCAATAGATGCAGAAAAAGCCTATGTCAAAATTCAACAACCCTTCATGCTAAAAACTCTCAATAAATTAGGTATTGATGGGACGTATCTCAAAATAATAAGAGCTATCTATGACAAACCCACAGCCAATATCATACTGAATGGGCAAAAACTGGAAGCATTCCCTTTGAAAACTGGCACAAGACAGGGATGCCCTCTCTCACCACTCCTATTCAACATAGTGTTGGAAGTTCTGGCCAGGGCAATCAGGCAGGAGAAGGAAATAAAGGGTATTCAATTAGGAAAAGAGAAAGTCAAATTGTCCCTGTTTGCAGACGACATGATTGTATATCTAGAAAACCCCATTGTCTCAGCCCAAAATCTCCTTAAGCTGATAAGCAACTTCAGCAAAGTCTCAGGATACAAAATCAATGTACAAAAATCACAAGCATTCTTATACACCAACAACAGACAAACAGAGAGCCAAATCATGAGTGAACTCCCATTCACAATTGCTTCAAAGAGAATAAAATACCTAGGAATCCAACTTACAAGGGATGTGAAGGACCTCTTCAAGGAGAACTACAAACCACTGCTCAAGGAAATAAAAGAGGACACAAACAAATGGAAGAACATTCCATGCTCATGGGTAGGAAGAATCAATATCGTGAAAATGGCCATACTGCCCAAGGTAATTTACAGATTCAATGCCATCCCCGTCAAGCTACCAATGACTTTCTTCACAGAATTGGAAAAAACTACTTTAAAGTTCATATGGAATCAAAAAAGAGCCCGCATCGCCAAGTCAATCCTAAGCCAAAAGAACAAAGCTGGAGGCATCACACTACCTGACTTCAAACTATACTACAAGGCTACAGTAACCAAAACAGCATGGTACTGGTACCAAAACAGAGATATAGATCAATGGAACAGAACAGAGCCCTCAGAAATAATGCCGCATATCTACAACTATCTGATCTTTGACAAACCTGAGAAAAACAAGCAATGGGGAAAGGATTCCCTATTTAATAAATGGTGCTGGGAAAACTGGCTAGCCATATGTAGAAAGCTGAAACTGGATCCCTTCCTTACACCTTATACAAAAATCAATTCAAGATGGATTAAAGATTTAAACGTTAGACCTAAAACCATAAAAACCCTAGAAGAAAACCTAGGCATTACCATTCAGGACATAGGCGTGGGCAAGGACTTCATGTCCAAAACACCAAAAGCAATGGCAACAAAAGCCAAAATTGACAAATGGGATCTAATTAAACTAAAGACCTTCTGCACAGCAAAAGAAACTACCATCAGAGTGAACAGGCAACCTACAACATGGGAGAAAATTTTTGGAACCTACTCATCTGACAAAGGGCTAATATCCAGAATCTACAATGAACTCAAACAAATTTACAAGAAAAAAACAAACAACCCCATCAAAAAGTGGGCGAAGGACATGAACAGACACTTCTCAAAAGAAGACATTTATGCAGCCAAAAAACACATGAAAAAATGCTCATCATCACTGGCCATCAGAGAAATGCAAATCAAAACCACTATGAGATATCATCTCACACCAGTTAGAATGGCAATCATTAAAAAGTCAGGAAACAACAGGTGCTGGAGAGGATGTGGAGAAATAGGAACACTTTTACACTGTTGGTGGGACTGTAAACTAGTTCAACCATTGTGGAAGTCAGTGTGGCGATTCCTCAGGGATCTAGAACTGGAAATACCATTTGACCCAGCCATCCCATTACTGGGTATATACCCAAATGACTATAAATCATGCTGCTATAAAGACACATGCACACGTATGTTTATTGCGGCATTATTCACAATAGCAAAGACTTGGAACCAACCCAAATGTCCAACAATGATAGACTGGATTAAGAAAATGTGGCACATATACACCATGGAATACTATGCAGCCATAAAAAATGATGAGTTCATGTCCTTTGTAGGGACATGGATGAAATTGGAAATCATCATTCTCAGTAAACTATCGCAAGAACAGAAAACCAAACACTGCATATTCTCACTCATAGGTGGGAACTGAACAATGGGATCACATGGACACAGGAAGGGGAATATCACACTCTGGGGACTGTGGTGGGGTCGGGGGAGGGGGGAGGGATAGCATTGGGAGATATACCTAATGCTAGATGACACGTTAGTGGGTACAGCGCACCAGCCTGGCACATGTATACATATGTAACTAACCTGTACAATGTGCACATGTACCCTAAAACTTAAAGTATAATAAAAAAAAAAAAATTAAAAAAAAAAAAAAAAAGAAACAAGAATTTGGAGCTTTTGAGCAATTTGCCCAAAGTCACACTACTAAAAAGTGGCAGAGCCAGAAACTTACATTTTTACAGCTGACTTAAAAGTCAGATTATTAACTGATTTTTTTAATTCTTAAAGCTATGTTTACTCTTCTAAAATAAAAAGGGGAAAGTAAATAAAGATTATACTCGGAATTATTTTCATACTGAGAAGGGAAATATATTTACAAGATTAAAATTTTAAGCATTATTTAAAAAAAAAAAAAAAAAAAAAGCATTTCTACTTCTCCACACAGCATTGCCAGCGTCTGTTGTTTCTTGAATTTTTAATAGTCACCATTCTGACTGACATGAGATGGTATCTCAATGTGGTTTTGATTTGCATTTCTCTAATAATTAATGATGTTGAGCTTTTTTTCATATGTTTGTTGGCTGCATAAATGTCTTCTTTTGAGAAGTGTCTGTTCCTGTCCTTCGCTCACTTTTTAATTGGTTCTTTCTTGTAAATTTATTGAAGTTCCTTATAGATTCTGGATATTAGACCTTTGTCAGATGGATAGATTGCAAAATTTTTCTCCCATTCTGTAGCTTGTCAGCTCACTCTGATGATAGTTTGTTTTGCTGCACAGAAGCTCTTTAGTTTAGTTAGATCCCATTTGTCAATTTTGGCTTTTGTTGCAATAGGTTTTGGCATTTTTGTCATGAAACCTTTGCCCATGCCTATGTCATGAATGGTATTGCCTACATTTTCTTCAAGGGTTTTGATAGCTTGGGGTTTTACATTTAAGTCTTTAAGCCATCCTTATACATTTGGATTAGGTGTAAGGAAGGGATCTAGTTTCAATTTTCTGCATATGGCTAGCCAGTTCTCCCAGTGCCATTTATTAAATGGGGAATCCTTTCCTCATTGTTTGTTTTTGTCAGGTTTATTGAAGATCTAATGGTTGTAGATGTGCAGTCTTATTTCTGAGATCTCTATTCTGTTCCATTGGACTATGTGTTTGTTTTTGTACTAGTACCTTGCTGTTTTGGTTACTATAGACTTGTAGTACAGTTTGAAGTTGGGCGGCGTGATGCTTCCAACTTTGTTCTTTTTGCTTAGGATTGTCTTGGCTATATGGGGTCTTTTTGGTTCTATATGAATTTTAAAGTAGTTTTTTTCTAATTCTGTGAAGAATGTTGTTTTAATTTGATAGGAATAGCATTGAATCTGCAAATGGCTTTGTGCAGTATAGCCATCTTAATGATAAATGTTGGCACATAAAAATACTTCTGATTTTTGTACATTGATTTTGTATACTGAAACTTTGCTGAAGTTGTCTGTCAGATCTAGGAGATTTTGGGTATAGACTTTGGGGTTTTCTAGGTATGGAATCATATTATCTGCATACGGAGATAGTTTGACTTCCTTTCTTTCTGTCTGGAGGTCTTTTATTTCTTTCTCTTACCTAATTTCTCTGGCTAGGGCTTCCAGTATTATGTTGAATAGGAGAGATGAGTCAACATACTTGTCTTGTTCTGGTTCTCCAGGGGAATGCCAGCTTTTGCCCATTCAGCAGATTGTTGGCTGTGGTTTTGTTATAGATGGCTTTTTATTATTTTGAGGTATGTTTCTTCAATGCCTAGTTTGTTGAGGATTTTTAGATGAAAGCATGTTGAATTTAACTGAAAGCTTTTTCTGCATTTATTGAGATGACCATGTAGTTTTTGTTTTTAGTTCCATTTATGTAGTGAATAACATTTATTGATTTATGTATGTTGAACCAACCTTGCATCCCAGGTATAAAACCCTCTTGATCATAGTGGATTAGTCTTTTGATGGGCTGCAAGATTCAGTTTGCTAGTATTTTATTGAGGATTTTTGCCTCTATGTTCATCAAGAATATTGGCCTGAAGTTTTCTTTTTTGTTATATCTTTGCCAGGGTTTAACAACTGGCTGGTGCTGGACTCATAGAAAGAGTTATGGATGAATCTCACCTCCTCAGTTTTTTGGAATAGTTTCTGTAGGAACGATACCAGCTCTTCTTTATATGTCTTGTAGCATTTGGCTGTGAATCCATCTGGACCTGGCATTTTTCTGATTGGTGGGCTTTTTATTACTGATTCAGTTTTGAAACTTGTTATTGGTCTGTTTAGGGTTTGAATTTCTTTCTGTTCAGTTGTAGGAGGTTGTTTGTTTCCAGGAATTTATTCATTCTTCAGAAATTAAGGAGAAATAAAGTATTTTCCAGACAAGCGAAAACTGGGGAAATTTATTAACACTAGGTTGGCCCTACAAGAAATACTTTGGGCAGTCCTACATCTGGAAGTGAAGGATAATATTTATCCTGAAAATACAAAAGAATATCAAGAATATAAAAGTCACTGGTGGAGCAGATACACAAATGAGAAAGGAAAATGAATAAAATGTGATTACTACAGAAGACCACCAAACCACAAAAATAAATGATAATAGAGGGAGAAAGGAAAATGGATATATAAAGCAATCAGAAAACAATGAAAAAGATAAGAGGATTAAAAATTCTTATTTATCAATAGGAACCTTGCATATAAATGAATTAAATTTCCTAATTAAATTTATAGACTGGCTGTATGTATTTAAAAAAGAACACAATATTATATGCTACTTACTACAAACTCACTAAACCTGTAAAACCTCACATTGGCTGAAAGCAAAGAGTTGAAAAATTGTATTTCATGCCAATAAAACCAAAAGTGTACATGAGTAGTTATATCACACAAAATAGACACTAAGTTAGTAAAAAAGAGACACAAAAGGTCATTCTATAAATATAAAGATATCAATTCAGCAAGAAGATATAACAATTATAAATATGTGTGCACCCAACACCAGGAGAGAATGAAACCCTTTTATTTGTGGCATCATGAATGAGCCTGGAACACATTATGTTAAGCGAAATAAGTCAGACCCAGCTTGATCAATAATGCATGTTCTTGCTCATAGGTGAAAGCTAAAAACAGTTTAGCTCATATAAGTATAGAGTAGAATTGTGGCTATTAGAGATGAGGAAGTGTAGAGGGGAAGGGTGAATAGGGAGAAGTTTGTTAATGGATACAAAGTTATAGCTAGATAGGAGGAATAACTTCTAGTGCTCTATAGGACTATAGGCTGAATATAGTTAACAATAATTTACTGTGTATTTTCAAAAATCTAACAGAGGATTTTGAATGTTCCAAGCACAAAAAATGATAAATGTTTGAGATGGTGGATATGGTATTACCCTGAATTGATCATAGCACATTGTATATGTGTATTGAAATCTCACTATGTCATAAATATGTAAAATTACTGTGCCAAATAAAAATAAAATAAAAAATATATATCCCAAATATATCTGTGACTAAAAATCATATATTCATTAAATATAAAGAAAATCAGAAATTTAGTAATCAAAAATTTTTAAATAGTAATCCTTGATGACATTAAAGCACAATAGATAAGTTTGACCTAATAAATATATAAAGAATATGTATAATATATATTCCATACTAATCTATAGAGAAATATTAACATTAAAACAATCAATGTAACACAGATTGTATTTTCCAGTCAATTAGAAATTAGATTAAAAATGAATGACAAAGTAATAATTAAAAATACACACCAAGTACATTTGAATTTAAACAGAAAAATTGTATGTGATTCATCTATTTAAATAATACAAGGCATATCTGTCTTAGAGACATAGATCTGTAATGCTTAAGGACTTTCCAAACCCAAGGTAAGAATAATTTTAAAAACCCACAGCCCTTCTTAAATCCTGAATTCTAGATAAAAATAGAGTGTTTGAAATAGTACAGTTCAAAAAAGAATCAATTTATTATGATAATTCTCTTCTATGACTTTGGAAACTATATGATGGTACAATATCTGCAGACTACTGTTAGAAAATATTTATCTTAAAAAAATTATATACCTAGTCAAGATAAGCTGACATTCTATGTGTTTTAAATATGCAAGCATTTTTTAATGTGTTTCATGTGCTACATATTAACTCTTTGAGATAGCTCATTTTATTTTCCCCAATTTACAAATGAAGAAACTGAGGTGCAGTTCAAAGTGCCACAGGAAGCCATAGAATCTAGTTTCAGATTCAACATTAAATATATTGGCTTTTGCTTAAAAAAATCACTCATGAAACAGTGCAAAAGAAAGATGAGCACAAATTAATAGAAAAACCACCTTATCTATGGAAAATAGTTGAAGGATTACTCTAAACAAACATAAATTTAGTAGCCAATAGTAAACCTTGACTATTTTACTTGAATAGTCAGTGTTACATTTATTTATTTATTTAATTTCCAACTTTAATTTTAAGTTCCGGGATACGTGTGCAGGATGTGCAGTTTTGTTACATAGGTAAACGTATGCCATGGTGGTTTGCTGCATAGATCATCCCATGACCCAGGTATTAAGCCCAGCATCCATTAGCTATTCTTCCTGATCCTCTCCCTATTCCCAACCCCCAACCCTCCACAGGACCCGGTTTGTATTGTTCCCCACCATGTGTCCATGTGTTCTCATCGTCAATGTTAAATGTACAGGGATGATAATAATGTGACTAGACTTTTTGCTTTTGAGGATAAAGATTTTTGAAACATCAGAGTACACTCTAAATATAAATCTCGAAAACCTAGAATTGAGAATCGACTTAGCTAAACCTTTAAGGATGAACACTTGGGAGGGAAGGGTGACAAAATGGAGAAAGAAAATAAAGATTTTTTACTAGTAGGTTTGGAAAGAAGTAGGTAAATAAAGAATCTTAATTGAAAAGGTATTTTTATTTTATTTTCAAATAATTATTAGAAAAATTTCATTCTAGATATGATTATGGGAAATGTAAATGTAATCATTTGCAGAAATAAAAAGCTAGCAGAAATTTCCAAACTAACATGGGAAAAAGCAATAAAAATAAATTTAATCAAGCCACAAAATGTAAAAAAAAAAAATTGATATTAAAATAGGAGGGAAGTTAGGATAAAATTAATTTAAAAATGATAAAGTAATAATATAAATAACTTACTCAGCATGAATGCTAAAAATAGAGACCATTAATCTTGATTTTTAAAAGTCTAGTAAAATAATTGTTATAAGAAACACATTTAAGTAAGTGTAAAAAGAGGAGTTTTAAAATAAAAGTAAATTATGCTAGGAGAATGCAAACAAAAATAATTCTGGAGGGGAAAGATTAATGATAAAAAATTTGACAAAAAAGTGTTGAGGAAGATAATATGGATTGTTATTTAGTATTAAATTATACACTCACAAAAGAGATAATAGATTCATAGACCATTGTAGATTAAAAAAATCTAGCGATAAAATATTGAAAGCCAAATCCAAGGACAATTTGATTAAACGCCATTTTAAATATACATTTTTTATGTACTTTTATCATTAGATGAGGTAAAACATAAGATAGATAAAAAGCAATCAAGAAAACAAGACCTTAAAAATATAATCATTGATTATATGTGTTTTACATATGATTGTGTATGTATGCATATGTTTATAGAAATCATTGTTGTTGAATATGGGACTTTCCTGTAGTTATAAGCTAATAAGTTAGCTTATTACTATTTAATGGACACTAGCAGAAGACATGAGACTCCTGGATCAGAGCTAAAAGATTTATTCCTGATATCACAGTAAACAATGCGAGCACATTTGCATCATTTTCTTTTACCCTCTAAATCTTATGCAGTTGAAGTATAAGGGTCAGTTGCAGGCTTGCATTTGCAGTGGATTGCATTACAGATATCAATCACAAGTGGTAGGTCCCCAGGTTACCCACAACTCTGTCTGACTTGGTTGTAAATCTGGGTTCCCAATCCCCTTTCCTGGAGTTCAGTCATTTTCTAGAATGACTCACAGATTTCAGGGAAATACTTCACTATTTTTATCCATATATCCATATATTATAAAATGACACAACTCAAGAACAGCCAGATGAAAGAGAAGCATAGGTCAAGGTGTAGGAGAAGGTACAAGAACCTCCATGTCCTCTCTGGGTGCACCGCTCTTCAAGCACTTCCACATGCAGGGTGACTCAGAAGCCCTGAATTTTGTCCTTTTGAGTTTTTATAGAGTCTTCATTACATAGGCATGATGGATTTAGGCATGATGGATTAAGTCATAGGCCATGGGTTATTAACTTAAACTTTAGCACCTCTCCCTTCCTGGAAGTTGGGGTTAAGCCAGAAGTTCCAACTCTCAAATCTTTCCCTGACATGCAGCTCCCATTCTGAGAATACTCAGGAGCCCCTAGTCATCAGTCATCTCATTAGCTTATAGAATGACACTTACCACTTCTGACATTCCAAGGGTTTTAGGAGCTGTGTGTTAGGAATCCAGGAATAAAGACCAAAATAGATGTCTTCTTATTTCTGCTAATTCCTCATCAAAGAATTGTCAATCTATCTGCGGCTACTTGAGCCCAAATAGCTATTTCTACTCTTCTGGAGTTGTTTCATTTGTTCCCAAACTGGCTTCAGGTGTTGTCAGGTTGGGACAGTTGATGATTCCCTTCCTCTATGTGTGTGTTTGTTCCTTCTAATAGGCTAGTCTTTGAGAAAATGGCTACACATCTGTCTATATCACACTACCCTCTTGAGACAAGGCTGCCCTGAAAACATGCCCCTCCATGCTCTAAGGTAACTTTCAGCTCCATCATGGGCACAGACACTTCGAACACACTAGATAGACTCTGAGGAAAGAAAGCCTGTGAAGGGGAAGAGGAAAGCAGGAGACAAGTACTCAGAACTGAGTCAACCTGTAAGACAAGGTGTCCTCTAAATGCCAGAAGTCAAGGTAAAGCAGAAGTACAATCTCCAACTTATTTTCAACTTCACAATGGTGTAAAAGCAATGGGAAATCATACTTGAAGTACTCATACAACCATTCTGTTTTTCACTTTTAGTACAGTATTCAATACATTATATGAGATATTCAACATTTTATTATAAAATAGGCTGTGTATTAGAAGGTTTTGACCCACAGTAGGTTAATGTAAATGTTCTGAGCATATTTAAGGTAGGCTAGGCTAAGCTTTGATGTTCAGTATGTTAGGCATATTAAACACATTTTTGACTCATGATATTTTTAACTTATAATGGGTTTATTGGAACACAACCCCATCATAAGTTAAGGAGCATCTGTATATACTTTTGACTGGGTAATCATGAAAAGCAAGAAAATATGAAAAAGTAAAGTAATTTGTAGAAGTTTCTTTCCCTGGAAGATATCTGGGACTTCTAGGTGTCCTGACCTGGGTTGATAACATAGAATGAAGCACAAGAATACATTCAGAGTGAAGGGGTCAAGGGACCAGAAGACCAGAGGATGTCCTTCACCATTGTTATAAATGCAGGCTGTTATCTAAACAGAGCATGTTTTAGGTTGAGTTATTTAGGTATCACCTGAGTTGTGCCAATGATATATTGCTAAGAGAGAAAATCAAGTTAACAAGTAATGTCTATTGTATTAATACATTTTCCTAAAAGGACATATATATGTATATATACATGTATACTTTTAGAGTAGGGAAAAGACCATATTAATGATCTATTAGGGAGAGAGATTGCAATGATAAAGGTTTGGGGAGAGCATATATTAACTTTCGTCATATACTTTTGCATTAGTTTACTAGTTCTTAGGTGGAAGTATTATTTTTGGTAATTTTGGAAAAGTAATTTAATTTAAAAAATAAAAGGGTGGTATATCTTTATGCCTTTTGAAGGGTGGTAGAATATGCACCCCAAATATGCTAACCTGGCATGAGGATTACTTTGAGCTAAAGACTCTTGGAAAATAGCAGATATGAAAGGGACACTTTATCTTCCCTGTACCAGGAGAGAAGAAACATTCTTATCACCAGATGGGGAGTCACAGCTGAGAAGAATCCATACAAATAGATCTTGTTAACGTAACTCTTATCTTCCTTTATCCTCTTCATACATTTTAGTTAGTCTTCCATAATTGCCACTCTTTGTTCAATCTACTACATAAGAATTTAAATTTTGCCACTTCTTTGGGCTTTCATTTTTTTATGGGGCTCTGATATACATTTAAAATTTTGTATGCTTTTTTCCTGTTATTCTCTCGTGTCAATTTAATTCTCAGGCCTAACCAGAGACTCTAAGAGGATAAAGTTTTGCCTCTCCTACATTTTTCACACATAGAAGGAACAGCATGATGATCAATGGTTGAAACTATGATGAAAGAACTCCCTTTCCTGTTTCAGTTGTATGCAGTAGAAACAACATATAACAAAATGAATAAAAAGCAAACCAAACCTTTGCATCAGTTTAGACTTTATCTTGTTCATGCAGTTAAACTATCCGAATTTTGTTTCCTTTACCTGTCATGGGAGAAGGGTACTTTAGTGAACCTACTGTGAGGAACAAAGGAAATGCTACATTGTTTTGAAATTAGATTTTAAGCTGGATAATCTTATTACAATATTTACAAGAAGGTAAAAATGATTTCATATTTTATTTCCAATTAGACTATACAAAAGGGAAAGTATGGGTGAGGTGGAAGGAGTTGCTTTTGAAGAGACTAGAAATCAATTACCGTTATAATTTTAAAGGGTTGCATAAATACCTTCTCAACAACCATGTTGTGTAGTGCACATATTTATCTAGCCACATAGACATGTAAATAAAAAGTGAAATCAAAATACTATCTTTTCTGTAGGTAAAGTCCTGCAGAGTAAAGAAAATACTGATGTCTAAAAATAAAATATGTTAAAATATGAAAAAAGTTTTTTAGGATATATAGTTTTATATAATATTTATTTCCGTGGAACATGTGCATCTCTGGAGAAAGTTTCTGCTCTTTAAGACTATAGGAAATTGAAAGAAACAAAAGAAAAGAGAGGTCTGAAAAAGCATAGCATGCTGGTCAGTCCCACCATTTCAGGCACTGCTTAACAATCTGTTGAGAAAGCAACTTGAACCAAACAAGCAGCCACATTTTACTCGCTTTCCAAGAGCGACAGGTGCAAAGAAGCTTGAGAAAAAAAAAGCATTCATTATGGGCAAGGTTAAAATTAGGTACTTAAAAATCATCATCTAATTTAGGTCATTTATCATTCTCCTCAAAGCCCCTTTTGTACAATTGAATACTGAAGTGCTTAGTTTACTATTAGATCATCACAGCTGCTACAGTATCACTCAAAGCAGATGTTTCACAGACAGAAAGAGTCCAGCTAATTTTAACAGAAACATGGTAACTGCAAGTCACTTTTTGGCAGTTCCAACAGTGAATGTGAATATACCATGCAGGTGCAACTGTATGTAGTGAATTGTAGGAGAAATGCTTTGAGAAAGGGAAAGTGATATTGGTGAGAGACCCCCAAAGGGTTTTATTCCTGATGGATTAGAAATCCAGAGCTGTAGACTGTGATTCACTGTGATGCAATTCAAACTATTTGTTTCCTTTTATAGAGAAAGAACAAAACAAAATGCTTGGGCTAATTACAGTGTATTCTCTCAATTATTTTCCAAATTAATTTGCTCTTGGAGATAGGATAGTGAGGGAATTTCTTACACATAAATTATTAGCTCACACATTAATTTACTCTCAACTTTTACCCCTAGTGATATCAGGATTTGAAATTGTGTTTCTATGTATTTAAATGTATGTATATGTGTATGCAAAGATCAGAATAAAAGGGTGACACTCTGAAATACAGGACACATATCACAAATTCCTTACTCAATTCCTTACTATTATAATTAACGGCAGGAAATTTCTGAAAAAGAGAAAAAGTTGTTTCCACTTACAAAAATATGGTAGAGATATCTGTGATAAAAGGCTAATTTAATTTTTAGTGTTTTCAAGACAATTAAATGTGCTTGAGCCAAGTGGGAGATAATCCCTTGCTTATTTTTGATTAAAATATGAATTGCAACCATTACTTTCCAATTCTTACTGAATCACTGTCCTTGAAATAGGTATATGTATGTAATATTCTCCAAATATACATTTCCAGAAAAGGCGTGTGCTAATTTTTAGAAGTTATTATAGCTATAAAAACCTAGGATATTGTATTAGTTTCCCAAGGCTGCTGTGAAAATTTACCACAAACTGGGTGGTTTAAACAATAGACATTTATGTTTGTATAGTACTAGAGACTGGCTCTAGAGGAGAATCCTTTCTTGCCTTTTCTAGCTTCTACTGGCTCTAGGAGTTCCTTGACTTATGGTCGCATAACTCCAATATCTGCCTCTGTCCTCACAAGGTATTCTCCAATTTCTCCCTGTGTCACCTGTTCTGTCTCATATAAAAATACTTGACATTGGATTCTGGGTCCATCCAGATAATCCAGAGTGATGTCATCTCAATATACATATTTTTAAATTCTTTTTTTAAATTTTACTTTAAGTTCTGGGATACATGTGCTGAACGTGCAGGTTTGTTACATAGATATACATGTGCCATGGTGATTTGTTGCACCCATTAACTCGTCATCTAGGTTTTAAGCCCCACATGCATTAGGTATTTGTTCTAATGCTCTCCCTCCCCTTCCTCCCACCCCCTGGTGTGTGATGTTCTCTCCCTGATTCCATGTGTTCTCATTGTTCAATTCCCACTTATGAGTGAGAACATGCGGTGTTTGGTTTTCTATGCCTGTGTTAGTTTGCTGAGGATGATGGTTTCCAGCTTCATCCATGTCCCTGCAAAGGATATGAACTCATTCTTTTTTATGGCTGCATAGTATTCCATGGTGTATATGTACTACATTTTCTTTATCCAGTCTATCATTGATGGGCATTTGGGTTGGTTCCAAGTCTTTGCTATTGTGAATAGTGCTGCAATAAACATATGTGTGCATGTGTCTTTATAGTAGAATGATTTATAATCCTTTGGGTATATACCCAGTAATGGGATTGCTGGGTCAAATGGTATTTCTGGTTCTAGATCCTTAAGGAATCACCACACTGTCTTCCACAATGGTTGAACTAATTTACACTCCCATCAACAGTGTAAAAGCATTCCTATTTCTCCGCATCCTCTCCACCATCTGTTGTTTCCAGACTTTTTAATGATTGCCATTTTAACTTCTGTGAGATGGTATCTCATTGTGGCTTTGATTTGCATTTCTCTAATGACCCTAATGACCAGTGATGATGAGCTTTTTTTTCATATGTTTGTTGGCTGCATAAATGTCTTCTTTTGAGAAGTGTCTGTTCATATCCTTTCCCCACTTTTTGATGGTGGTGTTGTTGTTTTTCTTGTAAATTTGTTTCAGTTTCTTGTAGATTCTGGATATTAGACCTTTGTCAGGTGGATAGATTACAAAACTTTTCTCCCATTCTGTAGGTTGTGTGTTCACTCTGATGATAGTTTATTTTGCTGTGCAGAAGCTCTTTAGTTTAATTAGATCCCATTTGTCAATTTTGGCTTTTGTTGCAATTGCTTTTGGTGTTTTAGTCATGAAGTCTTTGCCTACGCCTATGTCCTGAATGATATTTTAATTACACCTGTAAAAATTTTTTCCCCTAATAAAGTCACATTTGCAGGTTGAGGGTTAGGATGGGAACATAACTTTTTGGGGGCCGTTATTGAACCCATATATAAAGATTCATTCATGTATGTAAATGAACACATTTAGCAGTGCTACTCAAAATTTAATTCTCAGATGGCTGCCAAATTCATGAACTGTTTGTTACTGATCCATGATGAAATAAGGAACTTGCCTCAGAATGTAAATCAATTTCATTACAAAGTACACTATTAGATTCAGCTGACATTCTTTTGGAAAGACTTTTTTTGATGAAGAAAACAGCACATTAATTTATTTTCTAGGGCAAGCTCCTTATTTCATCATGGACCAGCACTTTTTGAGTTGTACAGTTTTAAAATATAATGACCAAATTGATGTTACGTTTATGTGTCTAATGTAGTCCTATTGGAATATGAGTCCAATATAATCACTATGGAAAGATTTTGGTAGTTGAGAATGGGGTAGGCAGATAAGATTCCTGATCATCACAAGAATCACTGATTTATTAGTTCAAAGGGCAAGTACCAAATATCCTCTGGCATGGAGCAATGTGATGTAATTAAAATGGAGAAAAATGAACATCAAGTGTTTGGCAACACGCTATTGCCTAAACGTGCATGTATCTGTTTTCTCTTGTTTACTATATTGCATATTTTGCATAAATAGTAAATATAATGTGCAATACAGTTTGTAAAGTTAGTTTTTACTGTTGTTACATAAAACATACGCTGTTAGAATCTCAACCACTGGATTTTCACCTCACCTATAAAACTGTTATCTGTCACCATCTCCACAGCATTATTTGTGAGCACCATCAGCAGGACCTTTCAAATTCATGGGATTCTCTCCCTTCGGTTCCAGTCTGGCTTTTGAAGCATCACCATCATTTACAAGGATTTTCCTATTTAAAAGGATATACTAACTTCATGAAAGCATTCCTCACTGAATCCATCTTTCACAGATTTCTCCAAAGCAGACCAGTTTCTGTTGGCTAAGAAAATTTAATTTGTCCTCAGTGTGTGCAAAGCCTTCCTCCCTCGGATTATTTTGAGATCTGACATGTTTCTTAAAGTTTTATAGCTAAGATAATTATCCGAAACTGCAGTAGTATTTCTCCATGTGATGCCATATTTACTATTCTGTATCAATCATCAGTTTTTATTTTCAAGCATCCATTGCTTTTGCTAACCAGAATGACTCAGAGACATCTCTGTTCCACTGGTTCTTCAGCTTCACTCATTTACATTGTGCATTTCTGTATTTATCTTATGACATACTGTTTTTATTTTCAAAGTTAAGAGCAGAAAGTAGTATTTTTCAGGGATAAAAGGGTCTAAATACATTTCTCTAAAATATATTCTGAGAGTACCATTAAGTGTGACGTCTAGCCTTATTGCACTGCTAAACTACCATTTGTTGAATCGGGAAGTTAAGATGTTAATGTCAGTCTAAATCACAAAATTAAAGTCTTTGGTCATCACAGTCCATTCAGAATCGTCACTTGAGTATACAGTATATAGCATGTCCTTGTAAAAATCCCAACATATTTGATAAATAATTTCCTCTCTTTTTTCTCTGTCCCTAGAGAACAGTTTTAAGCAAAGTGTTTCCATATGGAAAGAGTGAGGAGATTTAACGGGCTGTATAGCATCACTCATGAATAGTATTTAAGCCTCAAGAGCATACCTGGGACCTGAAGATTAGGGTTTATACAAGCATTTCATTACCGAGTATGTTCATATGTTGTCAGGCCAGGAAACTCCACAAACGCAAATATAAACAACCCCTAAAGTCATGTAATCAAGCCTACCATTACATGATCTTGTTAGACCATGAGTATTCCATTATAATGCTAAAAAGGAAATCAACACAGGAGCTTCCTGGACAGTTACTTTTGTGACAGTCGAGGCAGAACATGTATTTCAACATTAATATTTTCACAAGTTGAAAAGAATAGCCTGGCAAAGATAACCATTTTTATCATTAACAATGCAATATCATTTCTAGATTATTGAAATCAGAAAGAATGTACTTCCCTTCTATGGCTTTCTATGAACTCAAAGGCAGGCAGTGGTTTGTAGGTCTGAGTGCATAGGTGGCATGAGGCAGCTGATGAGCTTTAACAATATCATATTCTCAGGCTCCATGCCCACCCAAGATTTGGATTCATTTGGTTCAACTTCTTTGAAGCTCCCAGGTTATTTGAATGTGTTAGTAGTTTGGAGAAGCAAAGACTTGTTCAGGAGCAGTGATAACTAAATTCTAGAATGTAAGAATCACCTAGGAATTCATAAAACACATATACTGTTGCCAAACTTCCAAAGATTTTGATAGAGTAGGGCAAAGTAGAGATTCCATAACCATATGTTTTGTAAGCATCCCAGAGGTTCCTATGCCCATGGTCCATGTACTCGTACAGTTGGGTTATAAGTGAGGCAGAATCCTTAGGGAGATGGTCTACAATTCAAATACTACTTTATATAACAGTGTTTCTTAAAGGAGTTTAATTATCTTGGCTTATGTAATCACATTCATGCTTAGTTTCCATTTATGGTTGGGAAGCATATTATATGAAAACCCAAATTTTACAAATGAAGAAACCTAGCCACAGAGTGTTAAAATGGCTTCCCATGTCACACCTAGAATTAATTCTGGTTTATTGTTTGATCAGCCTACCTAAGCATATCAAAGATGCTTGAGAATTTAAGTAACTATATTTACACACCTAAAGTTTCAGATTAACTAATATCCAAAGAAGTTTGTAATTGCCTAGTCAGATCAAAAACTGAGGATAAAATACGTAACCTAATATGGTACTGAAAGATATGTTAACATAAAAACTTTACACCTCTCTGAGACGCAGAATATCTAATGGATGAGATCATGGGCTCTGGACTCAGAATGCAGGGTGAATCCTGGCTCTGCCGCTCACTAGCTGTGTGATTCTAGGCAAGTTATTTAATCTCTCAGTGGCTCAGTTTCCTTATTTGTCACACAGTGATAATTCCTACCATAGGTAGTTCCTACCTAGGATTTTTGCAAAGGTAAATAGATTACTTTCTGTAAACTCTTGGAACAGTGGCTGCCATAACATTATGTGCTATATGGTTGTGAATATTGTATAGTTGGCTGTTACTATTTAATAGACAGAAATGGATTTTTTTGTAGGGTGTATATTTGGATGAGGTGCTGTGATCAAAGCCACATGGATGAAGTTACAGTTTTGTTTTTAGTTAAATTTTTATCAAATTTTCAGTTGTATTTGATCACAAGGTACATTGAAAATATCTTTCCATTTAGTCAAATGAGTTGAAATTGCATATTAAGAATTTATTCCTGAAATTGTTGAGACATTGGTTCTATTGTTAGAGCATTTTCCCTACTCCTTCTCCAAAAAAGGAAAAAAAAAAAAAAAGAAAAAAACCTCTTTTTAGTTATGTAGCAATATTAAGAATAAAGGCTTGAACCTGGGAGGTGGAGGTTGCAGTGAGCCAAGATTGCACCATTGCACTCGAGACAAGAGCCTGGGGGACAAGAGCGAGACTTCGTCTAAAAAAAAAAAAAAAAAGGAGTAAAGCCTAACAGATATAAAAACAAAGATCCCATCTCCAGCAAAGGAAGAAGAAATGTTTTCAGGCCCATTGGTAAAAGCTTGGGGTTCTGAGCTGAATTTTGTGCAATTACTCTGTTTGCAATACCTTCAGACACATAAAGTGTGGGTTCTAGGAGGGAAGCCAATTTCAGGATATGCGTTCTTTACATAGTACCAAAGAGTAAAATGAGTCAATCATTTTAGGCCACCCTCCTACACCCAGTCCTAAAAGCTATACTGACATTCCTCATCAGCAGGGACACCCAAGAGCAACATCCAATCATCTTGACAAACAAAGACTCTAATGACATCGAATGGTGGTCACAAAGAGTGGAAACACAGTCAGTGTGATGAACAGTTTTGAAATGATGATAATTATGGTCCTGTGAGTCTGAGAAGAAAGGTTTTAGAGCCTATTTTTAGTCTCATCTAATGGTCATCACTTTTAGCGACTTCACTGGACCACCTGGTATGGCTTATTGGGCCTGGTTTTATAATTTTCTTTTTTTTATTTTCTCTTCAACCTAAGTCACTCAACTATACACTCAATTTTTTAAGTGTGTGTATTATGTATGTATACATGTGTGTATTTGTGTGTGTGTCACTCTGGAACAAAGCACAGTATAAAAAATATATAAAGGAACAAATATATTAAGAGGGATGAAAGAGTAGAATTTTGGCAATAGTGTCTGGACATGAAATATCTTGGTGCCACATTTTATACTGCTGATGGTTTGATGATTTGCCCTGTAACAGTGAAACTAATTTAGAAAATACATATCTATAGCTGCAAATTTCCAGAGGTAACATTATTTTTTTACCCACAAATAATTCTGTCCTTACTGAGATGGGGAATAAATACTGTTACCTGTTGTTCTCATAGGGTAAATAATTTATATTTTCTTCTTCACAAAAAGAAAGTTTGGTTTTGGCTCAGTGTTGGCTATTTTATTTACTTTTGTTTTTGTTATTGTAGTTGCTTTATGAGAACGATAAGTATCTGTAGCATCAACTTAATAAAATTACGTCCCGAACATTGAGTTGGCAAAATAAGCCAACTCTGTATATTTAGGAACAAGCGGCCCATACCTCGTTATTTGTCATCATTCCTTTCCACTCATTTCAAATTCTGCTTATATGTTGCCAGGTGTTATATGTTTATACTTCCAAGTGTTTACTGCATGGGTTGATGGAAACACTAGCTGATCTAACACTACCTGTAATACTAATAAATGTTTTTAAAGTAATGTTGTGTTCATCCTTTAAATAAAAATAAAAACCTAAGGCAAATAGCAGCCCACTAAGCCATTTTTAGTGTGTTGTCCATTTCTTTTCTCTTTTTTCCTGCTTTCTTTTTGCTGTATCTCTGTTCATATTCATGAACCCTTGGCTTCTTTTACTTATCCTCTGTCCAGAAGACTATGTGTGGAAAGAAACATTTAAAAATGAATATTGTTAAGGTTAGGAAATATCTGTTTCAATTCTATTCCTCAAGTTCTGTTAAAAAAAGAAATGGATTTTCCCTAAGAATTGGGGACCTTAATGATAAATACTGACACGCGTTTTAAATTAAACACACTACTTTTTGTTGATTACCTTTAAAGTCTAACTCACTATGGTTTTACTTGCAGAGCAAAGCATTCTCTAACCCAGTCCAGCGCCTCCCGTAGGGGTTCTATGGCCACTTGGTGGCGATGTTGTAGAGGGGATTCATTAGCGGGCTGGGGGTTAGAAACCCGAGGCCCTTTCCAATCCCTGGGCTAGCACCATGATTTACTGAATCACAGCCCTCTAGTTATGTCTTAATTATTTAGAGGGCCTCGTAGCACAGCGACTGGCTCAAATTTCCAATGACAGAGTGATAAAACATGTTACATATACTTACTTTTAACAAAAATAGTTACCATACAAATGTACCAAAAGCTAGCAGAATTAAAGAAAATACTTCAATTTTTTTATTTTTTTCAAAGTAACTACAAGGCACATGAAATGTAAAATAAATAAGTGTTTGAACAAAAAAAGAAATCCAAAAACAAAAACAAAACTGAGTTCATCTCATGTAAACAAAGGTTATGACATACCGAGTCCTGTGAAGTCTGGATCTAATTTACCACCACAGCTTTGTATGGTATTCAATTTTCCCTATGAACATAATATTGAAGCCAAAGTGAACTCATTTTCCCCTGCAGATTCTATGTCTTTTAACGCCTCCATTTCTATGTTTATGTTGCTTCCTCTAACCGGAATACCCTCCCATCCATAGTCCCCCAAACCGCTACGAGTCTCCCCATCTTTAGATAGCTATCCCTAGTCTTCATCTGTTACTTACTCCTCAACAAAACATTGCAAGTGTACTTTAATCAGCCGCATGCACATCTGTTCTCCTAATAAAATATGAGTTTCTTAAGGGGAGAAACCATTTTCATTCTTTTTCTTGTTGCTTTCTTTGTTTCTTTCCTTCCTCCTTCTCCTCTCCCCTACTCCATAACTATGACATGGCTATAGCAGATCTGAAATTGTGCAAGTATTGCAGGTATGATAAGTACAGTATGGTACCTAATCTTATGGTGTTTACAATCTAGCAAGAAACACAGTCAAGCAAATAAACAATTATCTGTATGTGCTTTGTTGGGGGACAAGCATATGGCACAGTAATTCAGGGCCTGGAAATAATGATAAAAGTTAAATGTACTAAGTAGTCACTGTGACACAAACACTTTTTAAAGATTTTACATATGTTAACTTTTTAATCATGACAACAATCCAGGTAGTAGATGCAATTATTATGCTGATTTTACCTGTGAGGATTTAGAGGCCTAGAGAGACGAAAATCATTTATTCTGAGAAAAACAGCTGGATTTCAACTAAGGTGCTTCGGCTCCAGAGAGTATAGTTTTAGGCACTGTCTATAGCACCTTTCATTTTCTATATATATATACACAGCAGAAATATGGATTAATTAATTAATTATTGAAACAATTTCTATGGTATATATGAAAATCAGTTTCTAATTAACAAGTCATAATATGACATATTATTCTCAGATTAATAACATTTTTTATTTTACATACATACCATACTTTTAATCTGTGTTCCATGTACTTTTTTCTCTGAATTATGCTTATATTTTTATAATTCCAGTTATAATGCAAATTTTTACAAAACACATGTCATCTAAGATTTTTTTTTCTTCAAATTCTAGCATGGTACTGAACACACAAAAAGTTTACAATAGAGACTTAACTAGTAATTGTTGTCTTTCCAATGTGATTTAAGCTTAACAAACCTTTTTCAAATTCATTCTTTATTGAATTGTTTTTAACAAAGACTGTAAATCAAAATTATCTACAGATATTTTTTAACAATACACATAATGAAGCTTAATGCCAAGATTCTCATTGGTAATAAGTACAGCCTTGGGTCCAAATACTCAATTAATAATAACTGGGTCTTTCTGCAAGAATTGAGTCTTGAGGAATCAGCTCAAGAAAATACTGACACTCTTGCTACTGCTATTACTGTGAATTATAATGCACTTTATCTCTGGCCTAGGAGTTTCATATTTTCTGCCAGCATCTATGAAATCGTGGCAGGTTAACTTGTTAACTTGAAAGTAGGGTAAATCTTTCACAGTTATTGATATAACTTTTTCTGGGAGAGGCTCATCAGTAAGAAATGAACATTCACATCTGATTTTAATTTTAACAAGGCCCATATTGAGATTTCATTTAGAATGTAAAGACTGGCTGATCTATAATTAGTCTACCTTCTGAGTTAGCATTTTATTCAAGGAAATCTCCTATTCCAACAACTCTATCATTCAGTATTTGTCATCAACAATTAATCTATGGAATAGGCCTTTTTGACCTGCAATCCTCTCTCATAATATTGTTAGCCAGCCCCAGCAACCTGTCCATTCCTTAACTCCTTTATTGGACACCATATCCAATTGAATCAGTCAGTTCTTGCACTGCTATAAAGAATACCTGAGACTAGATAATTTATCAAGAAAAGCCTGTAGCTTACGGTTCCACAGGCTGTACAGGAAGCATGATGCTGGCCATCTGTTTGGCTTCTGGGGAGGCCTCAGAAAATTTAAAATCATAGCAGACGGCGAAGGAGAAGCAGGCACGTCTTACCTGGCCAAAGCAGGAAGGGGAGAGAGACAGGGGAGGTGCTACACACTTTTAAACAACCATTTCTCATGAGAATTCTACCATTAGAACAACACCAAAGGGATGGTGCTAAACCATTTATGAAGGATCCACCCCATGACCCAATTACCTCCCACCAGGACCTACCTCCAACATTGGAGATTACAACAGAACATGAGATTCTGGTGGGGACAAAGGCCCAAACCATATAACCCCTGTTCTCACAAGCCTTCCCTTCTAGTGACTAACAAACATTCCACCTGAAACCTTCAAAAAATACCTAAAAAGTTTTATTTTCTCTTCATCTCTATTTTTTTTTTTTGTGAGGGGTTAAGAGTGGGAATTTCAGAGCATTATTTTTTTTCTTTTCATATATATATATATATTATACTTTAAGTTCTAGGGTACATGTGCACAACGTGCAGGTTTGTAACATATGTATACATGTGCCATGTTGGTGTGCTGCACCCATTATTTCATCATTTACATTAGGTATATCTCCTAATGCTATCCCTCCTGCCTCCCCCCACCCCACAACAGGCCCCAGTGTGTGATGTTCCCATTCCTGTCTCCAAGTGTTTTCATTGTTCAATTCCAACTTAAGAGTGAGAACATGTGGTGTCTGGTTTTTTGTCCTTGAGATAGTTTGCTGAGAATGATGGTTTCCAGCTTCATCCATGTCCCTACAAAGGACATGAACTCATCATTTTTTAGGGCTGCATAGTATTCCATGGTATATTTGTGCCACATTTTCTTAATCCAGTCAGAGCATTATTATTTGCACAGTAGTTGCTATTATGCTTTCTCCCTCTTTAAATTTCAATCTCTTTAAGAACAGTAATGCAATTTTATTCATTTTAATGCTCTCTGTCTCCGATAGCCTAGCATAATGACTTGAATTTAATTATCAGTAAATTTTTAAAATTTATTATTTTTATTATTATCATTTAGAGATAGGGTTTCACTCTGTCACCCACATTGAAGTGCAGTGGCCTAATCATAGCTCACTGTGGATTTGAACTCCAGGGCTCAATTGATCCTCTCACCTCAGCCTCCTGAGTGGCTGGGACTACAGATATGTGTCACCACTCCTGGTTATTTATTTTTATTTTTTTTATAGGGACAGGGTCTCTCTAGGTTGCCCAAGGTGGTCTCTAACTCCCAGCCTCAAGCAATCTTCCTGCCTTGGCCTCCCAAAATGTTAGGTTTATAGGCATGAGCCACTGTACCTGGCAGTAAATTTTTTTGAATGAAAGAATTTTGAGTATATAATTAACATATATTTATTGCTTGTTCACCAAGTGTGCAATATGATTTCAGTATAGACATTTTATTACTTTTTATATGCCAAAAAAATTAGACTACTGGTTATGTACCAAATTGACTAGAAAAGAGTTTTGTCTACTTAAAACAGTTAGAATAAAATACCAATAGGTCTTTAATATAATGCCACATGTATCTATTTAGTTTATTTATTTTAAAATTTCCATGAAAAGTAAAATGAATACATACACATCACAGTTAACCAGTCTCAATTATGTCTTATTAAAGATATGCTCTTAGACTAAGGCTTTCAGTCGATGACTCACAAATGTTTGTGCTCCATTAATCATCAGACTTATTTGAAATCAGTGGTAGTTGCACTCAGTTGTTAAAGGCTTCAATAACAAGATATCAAATATATCAAAGAAGTAAGCAGGATGTATATAAGAAGGGTTTTCTTAGTGAGTTCCATGCATCTTAACTTTATTATACATTTCCATGTCTATGTGAGATCTTAGTTTTTCTGAATGTTACTCAAGATATTAGAACAGGGACCCAAAATATCTGAATTCATGTGTCTATCCCAAATGTGATATATATGAATTTAGACAGCTCTGTAGATTAGTGGCTGAAGAAATGACACTTCATCTTTTAGAGCTATGCTTACTAATTTTATCTTCAAATATGAATTATGTAACTAATACTGAAAAAACACATTATTAAGGCTCTTTAAAGCCTGTTTTTGTTATTCCATGGCAATATTTTCTTCTTAGATAATGTGTAATTATATAATTTTATGTGATATGGAAGATGTTCTACCTTCTTGGAACATAAAGTAAATCAATAACAAAGAAGGTGATTCATAAATGTACTGGACATTAAAACATCTTAGACTGGCCCCTCACAGTGGCTCTCACACCTGTAATCCCAGCACTTTGGGAGGCCGAGGCAGGTGGATCACTTGAGGTCAGGAGTTCGAGACCAGCCTGGCCAACATGGTGGAACCCCATCTCTACTAAAACTATAAATAATAGCTGGTTGTGGTGGCACAAACCTGTAGTCCCAGCTACTCTGGAGGCTGAAGCATGAGAATGGTTTGGACCTGGGAGGCGGAGGTTGAACCTGGTGAGCCGAGATGGTGCCACTGCACTCCAGCCTGGGTGACAAAGTGAGATTCTGTCTCAAACAAAACAAAACAAAACAAAACAAAACCCTTAGACTTAGGGAGACAAATATTTGTAATAGAAATGGGATTAAATTTTTAGTCTGAAGATCTGAATTTGAATCTTAGTTCTGTAAGCAATGTATAATCAATGAAAGATGTAATATTGTATGACTTCTATTTTATAAAAAGATAACTTTCTAGGTTATGTGGATGATATTTTGGTGGGATAAATGATTGCTGGCAAGAGGATAATTTGATAGCTGTTAGATGTGAACAGGACAAGATATTGTATAAGTTGTAGGAAAAAAAATTCAAGCAATCTAAAAAAGAAGCAAAACTACAGACAAGAATGATTCTTAAGTCTCTGGTTTGACAACTGGTTGGGTAGAGTTACTGGAATGCTACATAAATTTTCTTAAATTTGCAAATAGTAACACTTACATATAAAGAAAATCATAATAAATCACTATTGTCATGTGATGGGAGAGCATAGTGGAGGGGACAAGATGGAAATAATATTTCCCTGAATATTACTTGTTATTCAGGATTGACCTTGGAATAATAAAGTTTTTTAAATACTCAAAACTAAAATGAAATGGAAAAGCAAAGTCTATTGAAAAAAAAATCCTAAAAATGAAAAGCCAACTGAACAAATGTTATCTGTTTTTCCAGTTGCTGACATAATGCATAAAGACAAATGTATAAATGCATAAAGATATATGTATAAATGCATAAAGACTTCAGGCATGTTTTTTTCAGCTTATAAACAATAGAAATTTATTTTTCGTAGTTCTGGAGGCAGGGAAGTTCAAGATCAGGCTCCAGCAGATTTGATGTCTGATTAGGGCCTGTTTCCAGTTCATAGATGGCACCTTTTCACTGAGTCCTCACATGGCAGAAGGCACAAGTGCTTTTTAGAATAGATTTGGGTTTCCGTACTTAATGGAATGTATTCCAAAAGCAAATAAACAACTTACAAATGCATTCAGGAGACTTATTACCAGTTACGATATGGGTATTATTATTTTGAACATATTCTGTATATGTTGAGAATAAAGTAAAGAAGTAATTACAGGTTTATAAATATTGTTAGGAACCATAATTCATAATGTATAAAAAGAGAGATATAATTATAAAATCAAAACGTTAAGACTCTAGGATAGTAATATGAAATGGAAATACCAGCGTGATCTCATAATCAATATTGTTTTTTAAGTTAAATCATTCCAAATTCTGTATACTGACAAAGTTCAGATTATATTTTATAACAACAATTTTCCACTAAAAAGAATGAGGACTTCTGAGCAATAACTATTAATAATATGAGGTCCAGAAATATGCAGATAAAAGGTCAAAGCTGTTTGAAAGAGGTGGAAAGAAAAGAGTCTTAGACCTATTGGTTTTGAGTTCCCCTAGGACATGAAATTATTAGGGCTTGTCAGAGTTCTGATTTTGGGGTCTAGGTCTGATATTTAGTAAGTATTCATTAAATTTCTGTAACTTTAAAGAATGGAATCTAATAATCTTTAGGATACTGGTAGTTCTCAAAATTTATATGATTCAATATTTTCCACTTAAAGGTAAGTGACTTTAAGTAAAGTGACTATATTTAAGAAAACTTGGAGCTACAACACTGGTGCTTGATTAGAGACACTGGCATAATCTCTCAAAATTAACAGGATTCTGTCAATTCCAGAGTCGCTTTACTGAATGAGTGATTTATATTTAGTAGGTTAAAAAAGTTTATTTTGTAAAACTAGTACTGCCTCCCTCCCTTTCACCATTTTTCATAATTTAAAATTAGTTTGAATTGCATGCTTTATTGTTTATTTTGGACTTGTGTTATTGCATGTAAAAATAAGCAAGTCAAACCGAAAAATAATTGTGTATTCCATTATTTTATATTCCACATTTAAAATGTGTATTAAAATTTCTTGAATCTTTACAGTCAATAATTTCACTTTACCTTTAGCTTTTCTATTTAGACTTCCTTCCCAAGTATTTGTGATTCTTTTTATGAAAAAGTATTTCCTGACATCTGCCTTGAATTTCCGTTTTCCCCCAGTCCCATTCATGAACTCTCATCTTGTTATCTTCTTTAAGTGGAAAATAGTCTGCTTGACATTATTTCTATCATGTTCAGTTCTGTGAATTTCAGTGAGATCTTTCTTAATTATGTTCTTCCCAAGAGAGTACTTAATCTTTTTTAGCCTGTCTTCATAGATTTTTACCTGTTGGCCCCAGGATAAACCCCATAGCTTTCTAAAGTAAATTTGATAGTTTCAAAGTCTTGGGTACTTTATTAAAAGAAGGCCCATCAAAACAATATGCACACAATATCAAAACTAAATTTTCATGCTTTGGAAGAATTTGTTTTCTTTGACAATAAGCAGAACATCCAGACAACAAAGTAGCATCAAATACAGTGCAGCCGCTTGTACATTTTGATTTCATCTCTTCCCCTTTTGTTTATTACCTTTAGTACCTTAAGGGTTCACACTGAATGATGAAACCATATTTTTAAGTGTTCATTTTCCTTTAATGTTTTTACTTTATACCCAACAGAGCAGAAAGATCTAATACCTAGAAGACATTAAAATTAAATTAATCTTTCCATGTAAGTTATTTCCTGTATTTATTAACCTCAGGTCAAAATGATAAAAGGGACAAGTAAAAAAAAAGATGCATTACATAAAATGGAAAACCAATTGCTACTCTCATTTAAATGAACAATTAAGATAATAGCTCAAAATTCACAATGGGGTGAAACATAAGAGACAATATATGTTTTGTCAATCAATATTATTCTACTAACACATAATGTGAATTAATGGCTTTCTATATAAACAAGAAAGAAAAAAGCTTATTTTTACTTTGTGTAGTGCTAAGTATTTTCTATATTAAGACATTCCCAGTTAAATCGATATTTTAAGTGAATAAACACATTGAAGCAATATTCAGAGTACATAACAGTTGGCAGTTTATCAAAGATTATCAAACTGTGTGTAGTTTTCTGTATAAATGGCAGAGCAAGTACACTGAATAGAATTAATAATCTTTAAAATTTGAGCATCAAATATATTTTAGTGAATGCTTTGTGTGACTAGCTGTTATAATAGGTATGTAAATTGGTAAACTTTACCAATTATCTCTATCAATAATATCATTAGGCATTCAATAGAACTTGTAATACTGGTCACACAGTCAAGCAAAGCAATTCTAGAAATTGGAGCTTTTATTTCTTTTTCCAGGAGAATTGGATTCAGCTAAGAAATCAGACCAACTCAAAGGAGATTGTTGCAGTTATTTTGGATCTATAAGTTGTGCAGGGAAAAAGTAAAACTGGCTTTCAGACGACAACAAAAACAGACTATTCACTAAATGCTTCTCTGCAAAATAGAGAATTTATGTTCCACCTTATGAAATGGCTTCTGAACACACGTATACATGAATGTCCTTGCTATCTCTGTGTAGGTAAAAAAATGAAGTAGATAAATGCATTATATCATAAAGCTATGGTTAACAGTTTTCTGCAAGTTTCCTAAGCAATGATCAAAAAGTCTAATTAGATATTACTAAGGAGTACAATACAAAGTAAAGTTGTGGATCCTTAGTAGGTTATAAAACAAAGAAGAACCATCCTTTTCCCAACTTTCAATGTAGAATAATTGGTTTAAAAATATATCAATCAACTATTTGTTTGTATCATAAAATATGAGTTTTACTTTTTAAACAAATGATCTATTAATGAGTTACTCATTCTGAGCTAGTTGCATCTTTTCAATACAGAATATTATACTTTACAAATTTTTATCTATATGTTTGTAGTAGCAAAAATGTAAACCACTCACTGTTCTTTATTATAAATCTTGCGTTGAAAAAAATGTTATGAAAACTAGAACTTTGGTCAGTGTCATTGCTCTATCAAGAAAATAAACCAGAAAAAAAATAGTATACTGCCAAATATTGTAAATGAAAAATAAATAAAAGTGAATTCTAGTCTTTCTGCATTTTCTTGAACAGTAGATTACAGTAATAACAACAGCTACCTGAGTAACCCTTTACATTTAACAAGGGACCCTCTCTACTTCTGCTGCATTCTGAGTCACCAATAATTAGTACATTCCTTCTGCCATAATTGTAGTCAACTATATAATTTCTTTACAAGATTTAATACAAAGTCAGATACGTTTCAGATGTGAATTTAAGTCTCTTAAAGCTCAAATTTCCCTTAGTATTGAGATAGGCACAAAATATTATTTCTAATTATTAAGCTTTCTATACATGCTTTTACTATTTTTAGTTTAAATTGAGTTGGATGTAGGCAGATAGCTATATACTTATGTTTTTATAATCAGAAATATAAATTGTTTATTTTTTCTACCTAGCTTTACCTTTGAAAAATCTGAAAACAACCTCTCAGCCCTAAAATTCACTCAAAAGACAATTTAAAAAAGAGAGCTAGTTTTATAAGTTCTTGTGCCCTACCCTCTGAGTAAACTATTTCTCTTCTAGGGAAATAACTTGTCACTTGGAAATTATTTAGCTCTAGTTCAGCTCAATCCATTAAAAACATGAAATGACAAGGCAAAAACGGAAACTTCAGTGATTAGTTTTTGAGTTGCTCTTCCAGTGCTGAGCACCGTAAGTCAGAGGTCCCTTCTGGACACACCAAATAAAACTCAGCCCAAATGCAAGACAACTCGGCATAGACATATCCTTAATTTTAAACAGTCAGAAATAAAAGCTCACAATATAAAGCTAGACTTTGGCTTCCTCCTTCCTATTCCTTATGTTTCTTTCCCAGGTTATTATTCCATTAAACAATTTCTTTATCCCACTAAATCCTTTTAAATCCCAGTTCTCTTCACACATCTTTCAAACTGAACCAATCTGTTTTCTCAGGCATGAATTTCTTTAGGCTTCTGTCATTGTTGACAATTCCTTTTATGTAATGTTTTCTGATTTTTTATGCATATCAGTTAGCCTCTTATTTTCAAATAGCATGTTAATATTTTAAAGTGGCTTTTAAAACACTCCAGGGTGAAATATATAAAAATTATGTTCTTATGATATGGAAAGGCATAACCTCAGAACTGCTTTTTAATGTCTATTGAAACTTTGAACAAATACTTTAACTTTTTTTTAACCCTCCTTATCTTCATGTGTAGAGTAAGGCCTCCTTTACGGAGTATATGAAAACATTTTTTGAACTACTGTTACTATGCAAATATTAATTATTCTTATTCTTATCTTTCCTATATGCCTTCTCTCCAAATCAACCATTAAAATTAGCATTGACTACAGGAAAGGTGCCAACTAAAAACAAACATGAAATTAATCTATTTTGTTTTTTCTTTTTCTTCCAAAACTAAGTTAATAATACTACGTATGCATAGTGACCTTGATTTGTAATCTTTCTACAGCTATAAAATTATCAGAGAGCACCTTGAGCAGCTGAGGTTTACATTTAAAGTCAGCTTGACAGATACATACTCTTGTGGGAAAATGGCCAGAGTTATCAAAGTGCAATGACACAATTTTGTAAGCGAATCCAGTTCCCTTTATTCCAGTTTTTATTCATCATGTACTTTATGACATTAGCTAATTTCACAAGTGATTTCTCAATTGTCAAAAGAAAGTTTACTTATTCCTTATATATATTTCTTAATATATATATTATTAAATATATATTTCTTAATATATACATTATTAAATATATATTTCTTAAGTATATATTTCATTATATACTCTTGATTCCCCTTGTTCAGTACCAGTTACAAAATAGATTTTTATAATCTATAATGTTGATAGTAAATGAAATACTGAGAAGTGGATTTTTTTAATACAATAATGAAAAAATAGTTTGATTCAATTTTATCATTAGTGATTAGAAAGAAATAATTAAAGACAAGATCAACCCTTCAAAACCTTTACTATATTTTGGATGTGCTATTAAGATCTGGGTACAAAATTGATTGCCACATGTTGACCTTACAAATGATCAATTCAATTGAATATGAGGTCCACCTCTATTTTCCCTGTAGTGTGTTATCACTCCAGTGAATAAGCTCTGACTCACTCTCTTGGCTGAGACTCAAACATAAATATATTTAATCAGGTAAAATTATAAAATGCTTTAAGAATGCCCTTAGTATACCAGAGACTGTATCTGAGGCTAGTGAACATAAATCAGGGATAATTTTAATATCCCCTTAGAAATAGCCAATTTCAACAGATGTCCCAAAGATTTCATGGTGCTTTTGACTCTCACAGCACTTTGAGATTTGTGAAGGACCAGTAATCTCGTGTTATCAACCTGATTTGAATGTCTTTTCTATTTCTTGTTCTTATGGAAATTTGACTGTTCATTGAGGACAATTCCTCTGCAGCTTTCTCAAGTGGAGCTTTATTTCTGATTTTGTTTTTGTTTTTTTCTATCTCCCTTTCACATGTTACCTCAGGTCCTAGGGATGAGTGATATGATTCTGGCTTTCGTTTGCTCTTTTTCAGACAAGTTCTACATTGTCTTCTACAGATACTCAGTTTTTCTAAAGTACAAGCTATCAGACTAAACCTTTTTATTGAAGTCATCTACTTATATCCATGTCAGTTTCCACCTTCACACCACATTTATGCAAAGCTTTCCTGTCTAGATCACTGTGTTCCTTTTCAACACTACTCTTACCTTGATTTTGGTGTCTTCTGTAAGTATGTAATTATTTGACCAAAACATTGACCCCTCTATTACTTGTCTTCCACTCCACTTTTTTACCACTCGCAAGGACTAACTCAAAATATTTTCATTAACAATAACTATATTGCAGCTCGCATCTCAAATTTAGCCATTCTACTCTAATTACCTACTTTCAGCTCACCTACACTTTTAAAGCACTCGACAATTTTTCTGCCTCCAAATGCAGAATTCATTGATTTCATCATCTTTTCACTGTGTAACTTCCATTTTGTTTCCTTTCTTATGCAGCTAATATACTGTGATATGCTACCAAAATGTGATGGAAAACAACTTTTGCTGCTGTGCTCTTCCCTTCCTTCCACCTTATGCTTTGTAACAGAAGACTCTCGATTCTATTTTAAAGAGTGTCTACAGTTATGCAAAGTGCCTACTGAATGTGGAAATTCTTGATGCAGGAGAAAAAGTGAATATTTCAGGAACAAATTCTTAGAATAGGTCAGAGGTGATAGAAAACAGACTCTGGTGCACAGGTGAGCATTTGGCCCAATAGGTTATAAACACTCCATCCATTAAAATAGGCATCTTTAGCTAGTGAATATAAATTAAGAGAAATATGAGCAAAGGTGTTGTAGGCATATTCACAGAATGGTTATAACAACGGGCCATGGAATCTAAATTAAGAAGGTAAGTAAGAACGTGAAGTGAGATATGGTGAGTATGTGATATGTGAGCTGGAGATCCAGGTGAGTTGAAAAATGTTTAGTATAAGAGCATTACAGTTGTCATGCTAGGAGGATAAGAGTCAAATAATTAGATGACAATGTCAAGGGATTGGATGCATGAAATCAAAATTTTGATGATGGAACAGTTATTAAAAATAAGGTCTAGGTACAATTATAAGAGATAATTTGTTAATGAACACATTCATGTTGATTAAAAAACTTGCCTTATGAGAGTTTTCTTCTATAAGAAATAATGTCATAAGTTACATGCTGATTTATAATCAGATCAAAAATTATTTCTTAACATTTAAAGGTACCCTTAGGTTTAGTCATCTACTAATCTACATTCTAGAATAACTGCACTTATAATATCCTCAACTCGTTTCCTTAAGCCATGAGAATCTGATCAAACCAATATAAACTTTTCCCAGAAAATATGCTTATGTGTTAAATAAGGACATACACAAAATTTCATATTCCTTCTGAAATTTATCATGAGATCTCTTAAAGATAAGTGTTAACTGCAGAAGTGTTTGGGGTCACAATTTTAGTGTGTGTAACTGCTGATGAACCTGCCATTTTGAATGGTAAGCAACACATGTAAGATGACAAAGGCACTCTAGTGGTGAAAACCATCAAAGTAGCTAAATTGCTATAGTTAAGCCATATTTTACTGATGAGAATTCTCCTTAAATAGTGACAGGGGCATACTAAAACAGATTTTTCTTCTTTGTTCCACATCATGGAATTCCAAACTAAACGGAACTGTTGAACATAGAAAATACCACTGTCATACCCAAGAGGGTTCATTTTGCCTAACTAAAGATATTTGGAATCTTTATACTTCAAATCCAAGGTACATATTTTATTTACTTCTAGGCTAAGCTTTCCATGGGTCCTTCTCTATCTTCCTTGGGGGCTTATAAAGCAGGCCACTTACTTAAAAATGCTCTAGGCTATGGCCTAAGAGATCTAATTTTTAACACTAAGTCTTTCATTTTGGGGTGTGTTTCTGTATGTGTGGGATGTGGGCAACTTAAATATTTTGATTTATTTACAGCTGATATCATGCGAATGTTTTTCCTTTTTGAAACTCATGTTGAAACTTAATCCCCAATGTAAGTGTCTTAAGAGTTGGGGCCTTTAAGACGCGAATGAGTCACGAGGACTCTGCCCTCATGAACTGATTAATCTATTCATGGATTAATGTATTATCATGGGAGTGGGTTAGTTATCATTAGAGTGAGTCCATTGTAAAAGCCAACTTGGCTGTCTTTCATGTGCCTCTCTTGTGCTATGATGGTTTCCACTGTGTTATAAGGCAGCATGAGACCTTCACCAGAAAGTGAACAGATGCAGCCTCTTGACCTTAGAGTTTCCAGCTTCCAGAACTATAAGAAATAAATTTCTTCTATTTGTAAATTACCCAGTCTCAGGTATTCAGTTATAACAACAAAAAATGGACTCAGACAATAGCATACTACCTATCTTACCTAGTGAGTGTGAACGGTAATCAATGTGAATATTCATTAACAATATAAAATGCTATGCATAAGCAGAAAAAATAATGTTGTATAATCTATCCTAACATAGTAACATGTCAAATAGCCTTCTTGAGAACGTAACATTTAGGGCCTGTATGTCATAAATAAAATGCGAGAATATTATCAATGTCACTCATATTGATAATCCAAACAATTCCAATAAATAATCTATTTAACACCAGAAGTGGATAATTTGCAAATGATGTAGCACAATCTACTTCTGCAATTGTATGTGACTACATTAAAAAATCAAATTTAATAAATCTATGGATACATTTATTAGGTACTTATGATGCATTAAATGTTACACTTTGTAGATACAAAGGGTAATAAAGACTGGAAAAAAAGTCAGTGTCCTCAAGGAACATATGGTCTACTTGAAAATAAAAAATTAAATAAAAAATTTACATTTTAAAATTTTTTAAAAAATACGTTTTAGGAAATTGTTTTAAATTTATTTATTTATTTTTATTTTTTGGTGTGTAGTCCTTTATTTTTTTTTATTACACTTTAAGTTTTAGGGTACATGTGCACAACGTGCAGGTTTGTTACATATGTATACATGTTCGTGCCATGTTGGTGTGCTGCACCCATTAACTCATCATTTAACATTAGGTGTATCTCCTAATGCTATCCCTCTCCCCAGCCCCCACCCCACAACAGGCCCCAGTGTGTGATGTTCCCCTTCCTGTGTCCATGTGTTCTCATTGTTCAATTTCCACCTATGAGTGAGAATATGTGATGTTTGGTTTTTTGTCCTTGTGATAGTTTGCTGAGAATGATGGTTTCCAGCTTCATCCATGTCCCTACGAAGGACATGAACTCATCATTTTTTATGGCTGCATAGTATTCCATGGTGTACATGTGCCACATTTTCTTAATCCAGTATATCATTGTTGGACATTTCGGTTGGTTCCAAGTCTTTGCCATTGTGAATAGTGCCACAATAAACATACGTGAGCATGTGTCTTTATAGCAGAATGATTTATAATCCTTTGGGTATATACCCAGTAATGGGATGGCTGGGTCAAATGGTATTTTTAGTTCTAGATCCCTGAGGAATCGCCACATTGACTTCCATCATGGTTGAACTAAATTACAGTCCCACCAACAGTGTAAAAGTGTTCCTATTTTTCCACATCCTCTCCAGCACTTGTTGATTCCTGATTTTTTAATGATCGCCATTCTAACTGGTGTGAGATGGTATCTCATTGTGGTTTTGATTTGCATTTCTCTGATGGCCAGTGATGATGAGCATTATTTCAAGTGTCTTTTGGCTCCATAAATGTCTTCTTTTGAGAAGTGTCTGTTCATATACTTCGCCCACTTTTTGATGGGGTTGTTTGTTTTTTTCTTGTAAATTTGTTTGGGTTCATTGTAGATTCTGGATATTAGCCCTTTGTCAGATGAGTAGGTTGCAAAAATTTTCTCCCATTCTGTAGGTTGTCTGTTCACTCTGATGGTAGTTTCTTTTGCTGTGCAGAAGCCCTTTAGTTCAATTAGATCCCATTTGTCAATTTTGGCTTTTGTTGCCATTGCTTTTGGTGTTTTAGACATGAAGTCCTTGCACAGGCCTATGTCCTGAATGGTATTGCCTAGGTTTTCTTCTAGGGTTTTTATGGTTTTAGGTCTAACATTTAAGTCTTTAATCCATCTTGAATTAATTTTTGTATAAGGTGTAAGGAAGGGATCCAGTTTCAGCTTTCTACATATGGCTAGCCTGTTTTCCCAGCACCATTTATTAAATAGGGAATCCTTTCCCCATTTCTTGTTTTTCTCAGGTTTATCAAAGATCAGATAGTTGTAGATATGTGGCATTATTTCTGAGGGCTCTGTTCTGTTCCACTGGTCTATATCTCTGTTTTGGTACCAGTACCATGATGTTTTGGTTACTGTAGCCTTGTAGTATAGTTTGAAGTCAAGTAGTGAGATGCCTCCAGCTTTGTTCTTTTGGATTAGGATTGACTTAGCAATGCGGGCTCTTTTTTGGTTCCATATGAACTTTAAAGTAGTTTTTTCCAATTCTGTGAAGAAAGTCATTGGTAGCTTGATGGGGATGGCACTGAATCTATAAATTATCTTGGGCAGCATGGCCATTTTCACCATATGGATTCTTCCTACCCATGAGCATGGAATTTCTTCCATTTGTTTGTATCCTCTTTTATTTCATTGAGCAGTGGTTTGTAGTTCTCTTTAGAAGAGGTCCTTCACATCCCTTGTAAGTTGGATTCCTAGGTATTTTATTCCCTTTGAAGCAATTGTGAATGGGAGTTCACTCATGATTTGGCTGTTTGTCTGTTATTGGTGTATAAGAATGCTTGTGATTTTTGCACATTGATTTTGTATCCTGAGACTTTGCTGAAGTTGCTTATCAGCTTAAGGAGATTTTGGGCTGAGACAACGGAGTTTTCTAGATATACAATCATGTCATCTGCAAACAGGGACAATTTGACTTCCTCTTTTCCTAATTGAATGCCCTTTATTTCCTTCTCCTGCCTGATTTCCCTGGCCAGAACTTCCAACACTATGTTGATTAGGAGTGGTGAGAGAGGGCACCCCTGTCTTGTGCCAGTTTTCAAAGGGAATGCTTCCAGTTTTTGCCCATTCAGTATGATATTGGCTGTGGGTTTGTCATCAATAGCTCTTATTATTTTGTAATACATCCCATTAATACCTAATTTATCGAGAGTTTTTAGCATGAAGGGCTGTTGAATTTTGTCAAAGGACTTTTCTGCATCTATTGAGATAATCATGTATTTTTTGTCTTTGGTTCTGTTTATATACTGGATTACATCTATTGATTTGCATATGTTGAACCAGCCTTACATCCCAGGGATGAAGCCCACTTGATCATGGTGGATAAGCTTTTTGATGTGCTGCTGGATTCAGTTTGCCAGTGTTTTATTGAAGATTTTTGTGTTGATGTTCTTCAGGGATATTGGTCTAAAATTCTCTTTTTTTGTTGTGTCTCTGCCAGGCTTTGGTATCAGGATGATGCTGGTCTCATAAAATGAGTTAGGGAGGATTCCCTCTTTTTCTATTCACTGTAATAGTTTCAGAAGGAATGGTACCAGTTCCTCCTTGTACCTCTGGTGGAATTCGGCTGTGAATCCATCTGGTCCTGGACTTTTTTGGTTGGTAAGCTATTAATTATTGCCTCAATTTCAGAGCCCGTTATTGATCTATTCAGAGATTCAACTTCTTCCTGGTTTAGTCTTGGGAGAGTTGGTTTAGTCCTGGTTTAGTATGTGTTGAGGAATTTATCCATTTCTTCTAGATTTTCTAGTTTATTTGCATAGAGGTGTTTATAGTATTCTCTGATGGTAGTTTGTATTTCTGTGAGAACGGTGGTGATATTCCCTTTATCATTTTTTATTGTGTCTATTTGATTCTTCTCTCTTTTCTTCTTTGTCTTGCTAGCGGTCTATCAATTTTGTTGATCTTTTCAAAAAATCAGCTCCTGGATTCATTGATTTTTTGAAGGGTTTTTTGTGTCTCTATTTCCTTCAGTTCTGTTCTGATCTTAGTTATTTTTTTACCTTCACTAGCTTTTGAGTGTGTTTGCTCTTGCTTCTCTAGTTCTTTTAATTGCAATGTTAAGGTGTCAATTTTAGATCTTTCCTGCTTTCTTATGTGGGCATTTAGTGCTATAAATTTCCCTCTATGTACTGCTTTGAATGTGTCCCAGAGATTCTGGAATGTTGTGTTTTTGTTCTCATTGGTTTCAAAGAATATCTTTATTTCTGCCTTCATTTCATTATGTACCCAGTAGTCATTCAGGAGCAGGTTGTTCAGTTTCCATGTAGTTGAGTGGTTTGGAGTGAGTTTCTTAATCCTGAGTTTTAGTTTGATTGCACTGTGGTCTGGGGGACAGTTTGTTATAATTTCTGTTCTTTTACATTTGCTGAGGAGTGTTTTACTTCCAATTATATGGCCAATTTTGGAATAGGTGTGGTGTAGTGCCGAAAAGAATGTAGATTCTGTTGATTTGGGTGGAGAGTTCTGTAGATGTCTATTAGGTACACTTGGTGCAGAGCTGAGTTCAATTCCTGGATATCCTTGTTAACTTTCTGTCTCAATCTGTCTAATGTTGACAGTGGGGTGTTAAAGTCTCCCATTATTATTGTGTGGGAGTCTAAGTCTCTTTGTAGGTCTCTAAGGGCTTCCTTTATGAATCTGGGTGCTCTTGTATTGGGTGCATATATATTTAGGATAGTTAGCTCTTCTTGTTGAATTGATCCCTTTACCATTATGTAACGGCCTTCTTTGTCTCTTTTGATCTTTGTTGGTTTAAAGTCTGTTTTGTCACAGACTAGGATTGCAACCCCTGCTTTTCTTTGTTTTCCATTTGCTTGGTAGATCTTCTTCTATCCCTTTATTTTGAGCCTATATGTCTCTCTGCACTTGAGATGGGTTTCGTGAATACAACACACTGATGGGCCTTGACTCTTTATCCAATTTGCGAGTCTGTGTCTTTTAATTGGAATATTTAGCCCATTTACATTTAAAGTTAATATTGTTATGTGTGAATTTGATCCTGTCATGATGTTAGCTGGTTATTTTGCTCATTAGTTGATGCAGTTTCTTCCTAGCCTTGATGGTCTTTACAATTTGGCATGTTTTTGCAGTGGCTGGTACCAGTTTTTCCTTTCCATGTTTAGTGCTTCCTTCAGGAGCTCTTGTAGGGAAGGCCTGGTGGTGACAAAATCTCTCAGCATTGGGTTGTCTGTAAAGTATTTTATTTCTCCTTCACTTCTGAAGCTTAGTTTGGTTGGATATGAAATTCTGGATTGAAAATTCTTCTCTTTAAGAATGTTGAATATTGACCCGCACTCTCTTCTGGCTTGTACAGTTTCTGCTGTGAGATCAGTTGTTAGTCTGATGGGCTTCCCTTTGTTGGTAACCTGACCTTTCTCTCTGGCTTCCCTTAACATTTTTTCCTTCATTTCCACTTTGGAGAATCTGACAATTATGTGTCTTGGAGTTGCTCTCCTGGACGCGTATCTTTGTGGCGTTCTCTGTATTTCCTGTATTTGAATGTTGGCCTGCCTTGTTAGATTGGGGAAGTTCTCCTGGATAATATCCTGCAGAGTGTTTACCAACTCGGTTCCATTCTCCCTGTCACTTTCAGGAACACCAGTCAGATGTAGATTTGGTCTTTTCACATAGTCCCATATTTCTTGGAGGATTTGTTCATTTATTTTTATTCTTTTATCTCTAAACTTCTCTTCTCACTTCATTTCATTCATTTGATCTTGAATCACTGATATCCTTTCTTCTAGATGATCGAATCAGCTACTGAGGCTTGTGCATTCATTGCGTAGTTCTCGTGCCGTGGTTTTCAGCTACATCAGGTCCTTTAAGGACTTCTCTTCATTGGTTATTCTAGTTAGCCATTCATCTAATATTTTTTCAAGGTTTTTAACTTCTTTGCCATGGGTTCGAACTTCCTACTTTAGCTCGGAGTAGTTTGATCATCTGAAGCCTTCTTCTCTCAACTCGTCAAAGTCATTCTCCGTCCAGCTTTGTTCCATTGCTGGTGGGGACCTACCTTCCTTCAGAGGAGGAGAGGCACTCTGATTTTTAAAATTTTCAGTTTTTCTGCTCTGTTTTTTCCCCATCTTTGTGTTTTTATCTACCTTTGGTCTTTGATGATGGTGACATACAGATGGGGTTTTGGTGTGGATGTCCTTTCTGTTTGTTAGTTTTCCTTCTAACAGTCAGGGCCCTCAGCTGCAGGTCTGTTGGAGTTTCCTGGAGGTCCACTCCAGACCCTATTTTCCTGGGTATCAGCAGCAGAGGTTGAAGAACAGCAGATATTGGTGAACAGCAAATGTTGCTGCCTGATCATTCCTCCATTTGTTTTGTCTCAGAGGGAGTAACCGGCCATGTGAGGTGTCAGTCTGCCCCTACTGCGGAGTTCCTCCCAGTTAGGCTACTCAGGGGTCAGGGACCCACTTGAGGAGGCAGTCTGTCCATTCTCAGATCTCAAGCTGCGTGCTGGGAGAACCACTACTCTCTTCAAAGCTGTCAGACAGGGACATTTAAGTCTGCAGAGGTTTCTGCTGTCTTTTGTTTGGCTATGCCCTGCCCCCAGAGGTGGAGCCTACAGAGGCAGGGAGGCCTCCTTGAGCTGCAGTGGGCTCTACCCAGTTCGCGCTTCCTGGATGCTTTGTTTACCTACTCAAGCCTTGGCAATGGTGGGCGCCCCTCCCCCACCCTCGCTGAGGCTTTGCAGTTTGATCTCAGACTGCTGTGCTAGCAATGAGTGAGGCTCTGTGGGCATAGGATCCTTTGAGCCATGCGGGGGATATAATCTCCTGGTGTGCCATTTGCTAAGACCATTGGAAAAGCACAGTATTAGGGTGGGAGTGACCTGATTTTCCAGGTGCCGTGTGTCACCCCCTTCCTGTGCTAGGAAAGGGAATTTCCTGACCCCTTGTCCTTCCTGGGTGAGGCAATGCCTCTTCCTGCTTTGGTTCACGCTCGGTGAGCTGCACCCACTGTCCTGCACCCACTGCTTCGACATGCCCCAGTGAGATGAACCCGGTACCTCAGTTGGAAATGCAGAAATCACCTGTCTTCTGTGTCGCTCACGCTGGGAGCTGTAGACTGGAGCTGTTCCTATTTGGCATTTTGGCTCCACTCCGTTTTAAATTTAATTATACAGATTATAAATGCCATACTAGGTTGTGAGAAGAAATTCCTTTAGGTTATAGTTGTTCTACTAAATCCATTAGTTTATTTATTACTTTAAATTGTTTTAATTGAGCACCTATTATATGTTAGACATTTTGCTAGCCTTATGTAAAAAATCAAAAGTGAATAAGAAGCACATTGTCAAGAACAATGAAGAATCTGATATTTTTACCCTGTTTGCAAGTTAACAAGTCAGCTTGGCAGTTTCGTGGACAGTGGTATCTTAGACTCCTGAGTCTAAGACAAAGGTCTTTATACTTATGGCACATCAAGAAGTAGGAGCTTCAATCTGCTTGCCCTTTGTGCTGGAGGAAGACATTTATTACACTGCTCAATGAACAAAACTGCCCTCAAGTTTTCAGAGAAATACTAATATTCCAAGGCTATTTGCCATATTGTCATTCAGGATAAGATAGCCCAAAACAAAAACCATCAGAGCCTGTATTAATTCTCTGTTTCTATGCAACAAATCATGATGCATTTAGTGGATTAAAACAATGTATTTATAATCTCATAGTTCCTTTGAGTCAGCAGTCTTGGCATGATAACAGAGTCCTCTGTTTTTAATCTTATGAGTCCAAATTTAAGGTGTCAGTTAGGATGAATTCTTTTCTAGAGTGCAGAATCTTCTTCCAGCGTCAGTTGGTTGTTAGCAGAATTTAGGTGCTGGTGATTGCAGAAATGAGAACTCCCTTTTCTTTCTGTTTTTCATCTGGGAGCCATGCTCACCTCCTAAGTGTTACCCATAGTTCTTTGCTGTATTGCTCTCTCAAAGGCCTTTTCACAATATGGCAGCTCATTTTCTTTTTAAAGCCAACAGGAGAGTCTCTCACTCCAGTCTGCTGAAATAGTCCTATACAAAACCATGGGAGTAACTAGCTCATCAGGTCCGCCATATAACGTAAGTTAATAAAGGGATTGAGTATTCCATCCTTTTGCCATATTCTGTTGGCTAGAGGGAAGTCAAAAGTTTTTTTTCACCCTCAGCAGGAGGAGATTATGTTGGAGTGTAAATCGTTGGAGGTTACATTATGATGCTTCTGATCATAAGACATGCAGAAAAAAGAAAGATGAATGGAAAATTGTTTCCCAAAAAACATAGGCCTTGATAAAGGGAAGCTTATGTTTTATAGATCTTCCTGGTCTTCCTATACATAGATTATATACATTCATAAGTAAACACATATATAAATTCAGTAATTAAGGAGTGTAATAAGTGATACTCAAGAAATAAACAGAGTGTAATAGAATAATAGAAGCATTATTCTGGAGCTTTAAGAGATTCTTTGAGAATGTTATGCTTTAGATAAATAATGAATTGGGAGAGAATTGTAATTGGAATAGTACACAGAAAATGGAAAGAAAATTACAAGATTTCAAGGGTGCTCACAGTGAGTGTTCAAGTTAAAATGAAGCATAACCATTGAAATGATGAGCAGTTACAATAAGGATGGAGATATTTCTAAACGACAGAACAAAATGTTTTGATTTTATTGTATAGGCAGTAAGAGAGTTAGGGAAGCTGGAATGGAGGGAGGAAGTGTGATTGAGAGAATGATATTTAAACATTTACACAGAGGCTCTGTTTTGTAGGGTAGTAAGATAACCAACTGGAAAATATTCAGCAAGTAATTAGAAATGAGAGATGGTAACTCTGAAAGAAAGTAAAGTGTAGATTTGAACACTAGGTGAAGAGTGGAGATTTCTGATGTCATGGGATTGGTGGAGCTGCATAGAGAAATGTATAAAGAGAGAGAAATAGAAAGCTAGCAGCTAACCTGCTGAACACAGGAGGAAGACGAGTAAGCAAAACTGATGAAGGTACTATGAGGACCAGGATAATGTGTCATAAAATAAGAAAACAAATGAAAAAAACTAAAATATTTGGAGAATCTGTGATTATTTTTTAAAGCATTTTTTGAGTTTAGAACTTTTTTCTTGTATAAATTTAGGGGATATGTGTGCAGACTGAGATTTCAGTGTAACCATCACCCCAATAGTGTACATTGTAAGAATACGGTATAATTTTGATTAGAGGCACTTCAAAAAAGAGTAGGCTGAGGAAATTGCAACAGTAGAAATAGACCACTTTTTAAAGAAAGTTTTCAGGGATGTGAAGACAATGTTTGGCAGGTAGATAGCACCACTGAGATCAGTATGATTTTGGCTGGTGCTAAAATATTCAGAGCACTTGAAAGTGCTTTGTAGATATAAACCTATTTCTAGTATTTCATAAACAGGATATTGTGCATAACTTGTTACCCTCGGATGGATGGTAATAGAAAACTACCTATTGTATAGCCCCCAATCCCATGGCATCAGAAAGCTCCACTTCTCACCTAGCATTAGAATCTACATTTTACTTTCTTTCAGAATTCCCACCACTCATTTCTAATTACTTGCTGAATATTTTCCACTTGATTATTTTACTACCCTACAAAACAGAGCTTATGTATAAACATTTAAATATCATTCTCTTAATCATACTTCCTCCCTTCATTCCAGCTTCCCTAACTCTCTTACTACCTATACAACAGGTGGATGGAAATAGAAAACTTCTAGTATTACTAGTCCTAAAATAATTAATCTTTCTGGGAACTGTCTGGGAAAGGGTGGCCTGAAGCACATCACAGACACTTAAGGGAAAATTACTGGCCTTATTTGCATCCAGGTACAACCATACAGACCAATTCTGGTTCCCTTTTGGGTCTGCATAGCAAAACAGTGTGTCCATGCAAGGGAATGTGATTGGATAATATTATTCCCACTCCAAAATACCTTTATGCATATTTTCTATGATGATATTATAGTTACCACAGGATGCAAATTTGAGGTACTGATGTAGCCTGCTTTAAACAATGCAAAATTTGGGGTATTTGCTTTCAAATTTGCCTAATCTCTGATTTGCAATTTTCCCTGTTTTATATGGATATAATAACTTTCAGGAATAAGGTAAAATTGCTTTGAAATTACCTCTAAAGTTATTGATGAATATCTAAATGTGAAAATGGAATAATACTGTGTATGTTAATACCAAATAGGATAGTGTCTTTTATCAGTTTATTCTTATGGAACCCGTAAAGTGGAAAAAAAAAAACAGGCCTTCAGATATTGTCTATTGATGATTTCTATATAAAAATTTTGAAGTTTTGCCTACTATTGATATTACTTCTTTTTAGTCTCTGATATTTAAATTAATTTTGAAATGTTGGATAAATATAACATGGAGGTACTGAATACAAGAATTTATCCAAAGATCTTAATAAAATTACAACCCATTGTTAACACACACACACAATTTAAACCAAGTCAAGAAACAATAAGTCGGAATTTATTTTTGTAAAAATTGAATACTTGAATATAAACATGCATATACTCACATGCATGTCTGTACTTATATTGAAAATGTCTGTAAGGTTATGAACATGGTTACATCTTATGAACATTGGATGAGGAGGTTTTTTCTTTATCAGTTAAGCTTTATATTTAATAATAAGCATAATAAGCCCCAATAAAAACATTAGTAAAAATAACTTTGAATTGAAGTTATGATAAGAATGAAATGATAAGGATCTGAATTAGAATAGAATGTTACGCAGATTGAAGGATAGTTGACGAAGAGACATTTTTTGATACCGATAGGAAGTGGAGTTGGCAGGATTTGGTGCCTCTGTAGACAAGATGGGCAAGGAAGATTTAGAGTTCATGGCATGACTAATTTGCCTGGTTAAAATATATTTCACCCTAAACAATCAGGCTATTGTTATTAATAAATATTAATCAATAATCAAACACTCTGTAACACTCTCTTATTTAATGCAAGAGAAGTACATGTCCTAAACATTTCTACACTGTTATTGAGCTAACACTTTTTTTTTACTTTGACAAAAGAAACTGGCATTAGCTTAAATTAATTTGGAAATAATATCGATGACTGTGATTTTAATCTATAATCTCCACTAGAAAACTAGAGTAGAAGGGATTTCTGATTACCTAAGGGTGAGCTTTTTTCTTTTTTCTAATCTGCTCTATATGCCAGGAGCAGCGTTAGAAGCTCCGTGGGGATAAGACCAATTTAGTCAACATTAAATCCAGTTAAGATAAGATACCTCCTATTTGATATAAGTATGTATTTACTCTCTTAGAGACTTTATTTTTTTATATTCAGGAATAAGCAGGGTATAGTTATTCTAGGCAGTAATAAAGCGATTTCAGTAAGCAACATCTACTCTTCCACCAAGTACCTTCAACTATTAAGTTTTTCAGTGCTCAGAAACTTATTTTAATTTTTGAACTGAATATCTTTGATCCATAGTTTTTGCTGAATTCTATGGCTAGAAAGACCTAAGAAATAAAGATCTTTATTTTAAAAACATATTTATAATGTGCATATTTAATTGTAGTTGATTAGCCATGTCTTCTTTTTTTTTTTTTTTTTTTTTTGAGATGGAGTTTTGCTCGTGTCACACAGGCTGGAGTGCGATGGCGTGATCTCGGCTCACTGCAACCTCCGCCTCCTGGGTTCAAGCAATTCTCCTGCCTCAGCCTCCTGAGTAGCTGGGACTACAGGCACCCACTAACTCGCCTGGCTAATTTTTGTATTTTTACAGAGATGGGGTTTCACTCTGCTGGCCAGGCTGGTCTCAAACTCCTGACCTCAGGTGATCCACCCCCGTCGGCCTCTCAAAGTGCTGGGATTACAGGCATGAGCCCCTGCGCCCAGCCATATCTTAAGAAATCTATTACTTGCTTATGAAAGCCTAGTTGAAATTTATGACTAGGTACAATTTGTCTTGCTTTTTAAAAAAATTTGTAATATGTAGCATATGGAATATAAATATTTGAAAATAATTTTGAGTTTACATACTGGAAAAAGTAAGGGAAATATTGATGGCTTAACTTTACCAATTAAAAAAAATCGTGGAAAATTGATAGCAGATTTGAGAGTGCATGTAACCTGTGTTTTTATATTAATTTGTATGTGATTCTGAATGTTTTATGATAAAGTCTCTTTTGGGTCAAATGTGCGGTAGCATTGTTTTAAATTAAAGATGAGAAGGAGTTCTCATATTACTTTATATTTGTTTCTGAAGAACATCTTTTATTCATTTTCTATAACACATAATTATAGTGCATGTCCCATAGTTACTTTTAGAAGTGTAGGAGTGTATTAAAAAGTTCATCTTTAGAAAACTCATTGTTCTAGTTTCAAATATCCACTGCTAATATGCAACCGTATCTTCAATTGCATTGTCTTGTAATAATAACCATTTGTTTGTGAAGAGAAAATTAATGTATTCAAAATTTCCAGGTGATCTATAGTTCTGTAAAAGTAATTCTAAAGCAGAACTGGAAAATTTGCATACATTTCAGGATAAAAGTTAAAACCATTGTTTTAATCTTTTAAAACATGTAAGGACTTGGAACTTAAAAAACTATAAAAATTATAAAATCAACATAAACATAGATAATACATGCTTATTGCTTAAAATATGCTTTCTATAACAAGCACAAGTTTTCAGTAACGGAAGTGTTCCCTCTTTCTTGAAGAAGCAAATTAATTTTATGATTACATTATTTGCTTATTTTCTTGCAGATTTTGTTTCATGGGCGTTTTCCATTAATCTTTAAAGGAGAAATTCAGTCCTTCAATTTTAGCAGAATCAACTAATTTTCCTTCTATGAATGTTTAGAAGCCATTTATCCTTAACACCTGCAATAAGTACTGCATGGTGGCGAAGAGTTCAGAATCTAGATTCAGAGTACCCATGTTGTAGCCCACTCTCTCTATAGCTATGTGACCTTGGCCAAGTACGTAAACTGCTCTGTGACTCCCAGTGCTTTCATGTTTAAAATCTAATCATTAATAATACTACTGAGATTGAAGTTTTGTTGTAAGGATTAAATGACACATAAAGAGATAAACATAATTCCTAGAATATTTCAAGTGTTCAATTAATAGTTGGGATTATTTTAGTAATGTTTGAAATACATAAAATAATCAAATGGCTATGAAAAATTTTAGTAAATTATCAATTGTCATATATTTATATATCTAATAATAGAATTCACGTCCATTTACCCAAGTTCAAGCTCCTTCACCAGTTTCCAAATGAACATATCTTCTTGGGTGGATTTCATCACAATGAACTTAACAGACACCAAAGCAAAAATACACTTCCTACCCTAAATTAATGCTTCTTACCAAATCTCCTCTCTCTGTTAAGTTCCCAGTGACTTACTGGTTATATCTTGGATTAATTTTTGACTTATTTATTTTCTTTATTTAATATTTCAGGAGAGATTTGTGGTCTATCTTTTCCAATGGGACCACTTACCACACCTAACATCATTTGCCTCTTTTGTTTTAACAACATAACTGTTTTTTTTGTTGTTGTTGTTCCATCTTTTTATATATTGCTCTCCCTGGCCTGCCTCTAAAATTTTACCATTTTGCATGACTGTTATTGGCACACTCTGTCATTAGTCCCATCTATGCTTTACTTTTCCTTGCAAACACATTCAACCCTGAGGCTTCAGCTCTCACCAAGATTTGTATCTCTGTCTCCAATTTCTGTTCTGCATTTTGGCTCCATATATCCAAAACCTACTAGATTTTAACAGAGATTTTGCCTTCAAACATATTTGGACACAAATGTATAATTTTTTCTAACTCCCAAAAGGTTTGGTAAGGTAGAGTTTTTCTTTTCATCTAGTTTTTTAAGTTAGAAACGTCTGAGTCATTTTTTCCCAACTTTATCTCCTCTCATTCTTGAAATACAATTAATTAGTTTTCAAATCTTATTGATCCTATTTCCTACATCTCTCTAGCCTTCATATCTACTGCTGCTACAGAGATTCAGAGGTCCTTCAACTCAGACTCTTCCAGTTGTGTGATAATTGTTCTTCTCTTTGTACCTTTCTTGTCCCTTTCTAATTCCTGATCAACATGCTGGCCAGATTTCTTGAGTACACGTCATGTTAGGTAACTTCCTTTCTGGGATTCTAATTTTGAGGCATGGATGATGATTCATATATATATATGTTTATATAAAGTAACCACACCAGTACTTGGGGAGGCCAAGGCAGGCAGATCATTTGAGGCCAAGAGTTTGAGACCAGCCTGGCCAACATAATGAAACCTCATCTCTGCTACTAACACAAAAATTTAGCTGAGCGTGGTAGCACATGCCTGTAATCCCAGCTACTTGGGAGGCTGAGGCCGGAGAATCACTTGAACCGAGGAGGCAGAGGCTGCAGTGAGCTGAGATCATGACACTGTACTCCAGCCTTAGCAACAGAGCAAAACTCTGTATCAAAAAAAAAAAAAAAGTAACCACAGAATTGGTTCTTAATATCATTACACAGTTAACATTAACTTTTATCTAATTTGAAGTTATTAATTTCTTAAGAACACTACATATTTCAAACTACTTCTGTGTGAATATATAAAGGACAATTGAGGAAAAGAGCATGTATCATTAAATAGTAAATTGATGAGAAGGAACAATATTTTTGTATGATAAATCTAATAGACCTGAGATTCATTGCCAAAAGGAATAAATCATTGGACAAAAAGCCAAAGTTGTAGTCACCAACAAATTAAAATATATAAACCACTGATAGATTTGACGGATATTTCCTAACAAGTCTGAAATGTTTACATTTTGGTACAAGCCCAACATCTCTTTTGAAACACATACATAAAATGGCTAATTTTTAATTTTGAAGTTTTTCCTGTATATTGTATCTTTAACATATTTTATTAAAGGCAAACTTTTCTATATTCATTTAAGATAAATATGGATTCAATCATATAGATTCACAATTGTAAGGAGATATTTATGGGGATCATCTACATGATCACTCATCACTATCACTATAAAAATTAAAATATGAACAACCTTGTTAATTAGATATATCACATTTCTGTCTCATGAAATTATTTTTATTTATAAACTTGGTTACAGGGTTAGTTTTAATCTATTCTTTCTAACTACCTGGAACAAAGTTACTTTTTGCTGATTAAAAACTTGTAGTTTTTCTTCATTTTTAACTAAACTATTGACATATTTGCCTGTTTTATTGTATCCATGACCTATAGTTTGTAATGTGAATCTTGCTGTAATTGTGTGAAGGTATGAAATATTCTTAATGTTTTTACTTATACATCCTTTAAAGTAGTTATACACTTTTATGTTAGCATAAATTATAATGTGATTTTTATTTTATCTGACTTGTAGTGTTTCTATGTAAGCTATTATATAAATTTTCCAATATAACTTAGAGTACTGAAATGTTTTTATTTGGTAATATCTTAGGATAGAATTTTCTCATCAGTGGTCCAATATTTTTTAAACATTTATTTTTAGCTTACTTATTACATGTATATCTATGCAACCACAATATTGAAAATTACATTTAAGTTAAAATATGGATCTACTTCCTTTCAATTTAATAAAAATTTGGAAATAAAATTATTAATAAAAACCTTACTTCTAATTATAATAAATGACTAAAGTCAATGGGACAAAATTTGACCAAAGGAATACTTATTTTTATTCACAAAACAGCAGTAATCCAAATTTCTAACCCATAGCACAACCACCTTTCCTGTGCAGAAGCTTTTTGGCTTGATGTAACTTCATTTTGCTTTTGTTGCCTAAGCTTCTGAGGTCTTATTAAAAAATCCTTGCCAGAATGAATGTTCTAAAACTTTCCCTCAATTTTTTATTCTAATAGTTTTATAGTTTATGGTATTATACTTAAGTCTTTAATACATTTTGAGTTGATTTTTGTAAGTGGTGAGAAATTAGGGTCTAATTTCATTCTTCTGAATGTGGATATTCAATTTTCCCAGTGCCATTTATTGAAGCAACTGTGCTTTCCCCAATGTGTGTCCTTGGCACCTTTGTTGAAGATCAGTTGGCTGTAAATATATAGATTTACATACATATTTAATGTTTTAATATGTGTTTGTTTTTCTGGTCTATTTTTCTATGTGTCTGTTTTTATGCCAGTACCATACTGTTTTGGTTGCCATTGCTTTGTAGTATATTTTAAAGTCAGTGTGATGCCTCTCGCTTTGTTCTTTTTGCTCAAGATTTCTGTGGCTATTTGAAGACTTTTGTGGTTAATTTTAGTATTGTTTTTTCTACTTCTGTGAAGAATGTCATTGGTATTTTGATGAGGATTGCACAAAATCTGTAATTGCTTTGGGAATTATGGACATTTTAGCAATATAAATTCTTCTAATTTATGGACATAGGATATCTTCTAATTTATATCTTTTCTCTTCCATTTATTTCACCAATGTTTTGTAGTTTCATTGTGGAGATCTTTTATCTGCTTGGTTAAATTTATTGCTAGGTATTCTATTTGATTGGTAGCTGTTGTAAATGGGGTTACTTTTTTGATTTCTTATTCAGTTGTTCACTATGTTTATCTAGAAATGCTACTGATTTTTGCATGTTGGCTTTATATCCTGCAAATTTACTGAATTTATGTATTAGTTCTAATAGTTTTTAATGTATTATTTTAGCATTTTCTGTATATAATTTAATCTGCCAATGGAACAATTTGACTTTAAAAATGACTATTTGGAATGAATAGATAGTAAAGATGTAGACAATTGCAATGACTCTCACCACTGATAATAGAGATTGTATTGTATAGGTTTGGGAATAGTAGAGCATATTTGTGTGACATAACTATGACACAGGGATGTGTCTGACAGGAGGTTGAAGATCTAAATGTATGAGTCTTTATAAAATTGTCAAATGAAAACACTTTTGCATGAAAAAAATGGACTATGCCGGCCACATGATCTTTCTAGCCTTCTCAAATCTGCATCATATTCTTCTATACTTATTCTTTGTGCTGCAGATTTTAAAAAATAATTAAAATAATTATTGTTAACTTTTTTATCACTGTTTGTGAACTGCGTGCTGTAATTACCACATAATGTGTTGAATACTCACATCCTTATGAAGTAAGTATCATTATTATTATTTGCATTATATGAAAGAGAAAACTGAATCACAAATAATTTAAATAGATTATCCAAAGTCACATAGCCATGAAGAGGCATAGAAGGATTTCTTTAAACTTGTATTTCAGGTTCAGGGATACACGTGCAGTTTTGGTAAATCAATAAACTGTGTCATGGGAGTTTGGTGTAGAAGTTATTTTGTCACCCAAGTAATAAGCATAGTACCTGACAGTCATTTGATCCTCTCCCTCTTCCAAACTTGCACCTTCAAGTAGGCCCTCGTGTTTGGTATTCTTTTCCTTTTGTCCATGTATATGCAAAGTTTAGCTCCCATTTGTGAGTGAGAACATGCGTTATTTGGTTTTTTGTCCCTGCAGTAGTTCACTTAGGATTATGTCCTCCAGCTCCATTCACATTGTGACAAAGAACACGATCTTGTTCTTTGCCTGTATAGCATTCCATGATGTCTATATACCACATTTTCTTTATCCCGTCTACCATTGATGGGTATTTAAGTTAATTCCATGTTTTTGCTAGTGTGAATAGTGCAGTGATGAACATACAACTGCATGTGTCTTTATGGTAGAATGATTTATATTGCTTTGGATATATACCCAATAATGGATTGCTGGGTCAAGTGGTACTTCTGTTTTAAGTTTTTTGAAAAGTTGCCACACTGTTTTCCACAGTGGATGACCTAATTTACACTCTCACCAACAGTGTACAAGCATTCCCATTTCGCCACAGCCGCACCTACATCTGTTATTTTTTGACTTTTTAGTAATAGCCATTCTGACTTGTGTGAGATGGTATCTCATTGTGGTTTAGATTTGAATTTCTTTAATGATTAGTGATGTTGAGATTTTTTCATATGGTTGTTGGCTGTGTGTACTTCTTCTTTATTAAGTGTCTGTTTATGTCTGTTGCCCATTTTTAATAGGGTTATATGTTACTCACTTGTTAATTTAAGTTCCTTATACATTCTGGATATTAGACCTTTGTCAGATGCATAGTTTGCAAACATTTTCTCCCTTTTTGTAGGTTGTCTCTGTACTCTGTTGATAGTTTATTTTGCTGTGCAGAAGTCGTTTAGTTTACACCTCATTTGTCAATTTTTATTTTTGTTACAATTGCTTTTGGTTTCTTCATCCCAAAGTCTTTGCCAGGGCCTATGTCCGGATGGTATTTTCTGGATTATGTTTCAGGGTTTTTATAGTGTGAGGTTTTGCATTTAAGTTTTAAACCCATCTTAAGTTGATTTTTGTGTATGGTGTTAGGAAGGGACCCAGTTTTAGTCTTCTGCATATAGCTAGCCAGTTATCCCAGCATATTTACTGAATATGGAGTCCTTTCTCCATTGCTTTTTTGGTCAAATTTGTCAAAAATCAGATAGCTATAGGTGTGCAGCTATAGTTCTGGTCTCTCTATTCTGTTCCCTTGGTCTGTATGTCTATTTTTGTACCAGTACCATGCTCTTTTGGTTACTGTAATCTTGTAGCATACTTGGCTATTTGGGCTCTTTTTTGGTTCCATATTTATTTTAGAATAGTTTTTTTTTCTAATTTTATGAAGACTGTCATTGGTAGTTTGATAGGAATAACACTTAATCTATAGATTGCTTTGAACAGAATGGATATTTTAACAATATTGAGCATAAGGCAAGAGAAAGACAACACAATCAAATAGGCAAAGAGAAAGCAAAACAATTTCTGTTTGTAGATGATATGATTCCATACCAAGAAAATCCTATCCAAAAGGGTGTATCCATGAGCTCAATACATTCTGTGAGCATGGAATATTTTTCCATTTGCTTGTTTCATCTCTGATTTTATTGACTAGTTGAATTAGTTGTAATTATAATTAGTTATTCTAATTCTTGCTGTAGAGGTCTTTCACCTGCCTGGTCAGAGGTATTCCTAGGTATTTTTTTCTTTTTGTGGCTATGGTTAATAGGATTGCATTCCTGATTTGTTTCTCAGCTTGGATATTGTTGGTGTATAGAAATGCTACTGAATTTGGTACATTAATTTTGTACAGTGAAACTTGGCTGAAGTTGTTTACCAGATCTAAGAGCTTTTGGGCAGAGAATACATACACTCTTTTGGGTGGGATTTTCTTGGTATAGAATCATATCATCTACAGACAGAATTTTTCTTACTTTCTCTTGGCCTATTTGATTGTGTTTTCTTTCTCTTGCCTCATCATTCTGACTATGACTTCCAGGACTATGCTGAATAGGAGCAGTGAGAATGGGCATCTTTGTCTTTTTCCGGTTCTCTAGGAGAATGCTTCCAGCTTTTGCTCATTCAGTATGGTGTTGGCTGTGGGTTTGTCATTATGATGGCGGTGGCGGCCTGTCTGGAGCAGCCACTGTGGGGATGCCAGCTGCAGCACAAGAGGTGTGGCCAGGGTTCTGTGCTCTGTGGAGTCAGAGGGGGCCTGGAACAGAAAAGAGCCCCTCCCCCTACTGAGTTGGTGGGGCAGTAGCCCCATGCTCCTGGACACAGCTGCAGCTGCCCAGCAGTGGCTCTGGACCCAGGCATTCCTGCATTTTCCGGGGCCTGGAAAAATCCCTGCCCGTGCAGGCTCAGAAGTGCTTTCTCCCATTCTCTGGCATCTCCCTGTTCCTGGTGCCCATTCCAGTGTGGAGCGAATATGTGGCCAAGCCCAGGCACTATTGAGATCTGGGCAGGTGTGTGCACACATGGGGTGGTGCTGACATTCCAGCCCCTGCTGCCTTGACCCCCTCCAGACTTTGGGTGTCAAGAAGCAAAAGAAGGTTGAAGGGGGGTGAGGGAAGCTCATCATGGGCCTGCAGGTGCCCCTCAGCATAAACAGGCTGGGTGCTGTGGATGGCATGTTGATTGTGAGAGGGAGACAAGTTTCTGGAAGGAAAGGATGGGTCGCTAGTGAAACCCCACCTTCAAGCCAGGGACAGCCTGAAGCCTGAGAGCTGGGCTGCCAGTTCCAAGTGGAGTCCGTGGTCTGGAGTGAGAAATTATAGTACTTTTCCTGGGCCTGCCTGCGAACCCGTCAACACACACTTCCTCCCTTCTGGGCCCATAAAAACCCTGGACTCAGGGTGTATGAGACAGACTCACAAGGATGTTGGGACTACCAGCTCTGGGAAGAAGCTACCCATTTTTAGTCTCCTCAATTTATCAGGATGACCTGCCTGTGGAAAGGAGCTACCCACTATGGGTCTCCTCTCCTCCAAGAGCTGGACAATCTTCAGAATGACCTGGCTCCAGAATGGAGCTACTGACTTTGGGTCTCCTGAGAGCTATTCCATTGCTCAATTAAGGAGGTCTGCCTTGCTCATCCTCCAGTTGTCCATGTACCTCATTGTTCCTGAACATGGGGCAAGAACTCAGGACCCACTGAATGGCAGGATTGAAAAAGCTGTAACACAAACCAGGCTGAAATGCCCCCTGCTCACCACGTTGTAGGTGACAAGAAGGAGAGAAGAGCTGTGGCCCTTTTGGGAGCCCAGACCTAGGGACTCCCTTAGCCAAGGCTGTGACACCATCTTTGGGGCTCTATTGTTCCTAGTGTCTCCAAGCTTTTGGGTGCCACCACATTCCCCAGTGCTCACAGTGAAAGCTACTTGCAGTATGCCTGGTCCAGCTTCTGCCTCGCACAGAGCTGGCCCCTGCACCAATCCCTGAAGCTGTCCACCCTGCTGCAGCTGGCACACGTGGCTGTGTACAGTGGCTGGAACTCACTTAGAAACCCCTTGCCACTCCACACCTGGCTTGCCTTTGACAGGCACAGGATCTGGGCCAGTAGCATAAGCTGAGTGCAGCCTGCCAGGTTGAGTGGACAGAACAAACCCAGCAGGCCCAAGCAAAACTTGGGAAGGCACCACCAGCCACACAGGTTTCCAGCTGGAAAAGTAACACCCTGAGGATCCTGTGACAATACATGGCTCTACATAGCTCTTAATTTTTTGAGGTATGTTCCTTTCATACCTAGTTTGTGGAAGGTTTTTAACATGAAGCGATGTTTAATTTTATTAAAGGCCTTTTTTCATCATGTGGGCTTTGTTTTTAGTTCTGTTTATGTGATGAATCACATTTATTGACTTTTGTATTTTAAGCCAACTTTGCACCTCAAGGATGAAAACTTGATCATGGTGGATTAGCTTTTTGATGTGCTGCACGATTTGGTTTGCTAGTATTTTGTTGAGGATATTTGCACTAATGTTAATCCAGGATATTTGCCTGAAATTTTGATTTTTGTTTTTTTCTCTGCCAGTTTTTGGTGTCAGGATGATGCAGGCCTCCTAGGATGAGTTAGGGAGGAATCTCTCCTCCTCAACATTTTGTAATAGTTTCAGTAGAAATGGTTCTAACTCTTCTTTGTACATCTGGTATAATTTGGCTCTTAGTCCATCTGGTCCTGAGCTTTCCCTGGTTGGAAGGCATTTTGTTACTGATTCAATTTTGAAATTCATTATTGGACTGTTCAGGGATTCAATTCCTTTCTGGTTCAAGAAATTTTGGAAGGTTGTGTGTTTCCAAAAATTTATTTGTTTCTTCTAGGTTTTCTTGTTTGTGTGCATAGTAGTCTCTGAAGGGTTTTTTGTACTTCTTTGGGGTCAGTGGTAATGTACCCTTTGTCATTTCTGATTTTGTTTATTTGGGTCTTCTCTGTTTTTTCTCTTTATTAATCAAGCTAGTAATCTAGCAATCTTATTTATTCTTTCAATGGAACAACTCCTAAAATCGTTGCTTTTTTTATATGGATTTCTGCATCTCAATTTCCATAAGTTCAGCTCTAATTTTGCTTATTTATTGCCTTTTGCTACTTTGGAATTTTTTTTTCCTTGTGTCTGTAGTTCCTCTAAGTGTGATGTTAGGTTGTTATTCTGAGACCTTTCCTTTTGACGTGGACTTTTAGTGCTATAAAATTCCCTTTTAACACTATTTTACTTGTGTTCCAGAGATCTGGGTATATTGTATCTTTGAAACTAATAAGTTTCAAATAATATCTTGATTTCTGACTCAATTTCATTGTCTACCCAAAAGTCATTTGGGAGCAGGTTCTTTAACTTTCATATAATTTTATGGTTTTGATACGGTTTGGCTCTGTGTTCCCACCCAAATCTCACCTTGAATTGTAATAATCCCCATGTCAAGGGCAGGGCCCATTGGAGATAATTGAATCATGAGTGTAGTTTCCCCTTACTGTTCTCATGATAGTGAGTTCTCAAAAGATCTGATTGTTTTAAAAATAGGAATTTCCCTGCACAAGCTCTCTTCTCTTGTCTGCAGCCAGGTGAGACATGCCTTTCACTTTCTGCCATGATTGTGAGGCCTCCCCAGCCACGTGAAAATGTAAGTCCAATAAACCTCCTTCTTTTATAAATTGCCCAGTCTCAGGTTTGTCTTTATCAGCACTGTGAAAATGAACCAATACAGTAAATTGGTACCAGTAGAGTGGGGTGCTGCTGAAAACATACTCGAAAATGTGGAAGCGACTTTGGACCTGAGTAACAGGTGGAGGTTGGAACAGTTTGGAGGGCTCTGAAAAGGATAGGAAAATGTGGGAAAGTTTGGAACTCCCCAGAGACTTGTTTAATGATTTTGACCAAAATACTGATGATGATATGGACAATGAAATCCAGGCCACATTGGTCTGAGATAGAGATGAGGAACTTGTTGTGAACTGGAGCAAAGGTGACTCTTGTTATGTTTAACAAAGAGACTGGAGGCATTTTGCCCTTGTCCTAGAGACTTGTGGAACTTTGAGCTTGAGAGAGATGATTTAGGGTATCTGGTGGAAGAAATTTCTAAGCAGCAAAGCATTCAAGAGGTGACTTGAGTACTGTTAAACACATTCAATTTTAAAATGGAAACAGAGAATAAAAGTTCAGAAAATATGCAGCCTGACAATGCAATAGAAAAAAAAATCCCATTTTCTGAGGACAAATTTAAGGTGGCTGCAGAAATTTGCATAAGTACTGAGGAGCTAAATGTGAAACCCAAGGCAATAGAGAAAATGTCTCCTGGGCATGTTGGAGGTCTTTATGGCAGCCCCTCTCATCACTGGCCCAGAGGTCTAGGAGGAAAAGGTGGTTTCATGGGCCAGTCCCAGAGTCCCTCTTCTGTGTGCAGTCTAGGGAATCGGTACTCTGCGTTTCAGCTGCTCCAGCCATGGCTAAAAGGGGACAAGGTGCTGCTTGGGCCATGGCTTCAGAGGGTGCAAGCCCCAAGCCTTGGCAGCTTTCATGTGGCATTGAGCCTGTGAGTACACAGAAGTTAAGAATTGAGGTTTGGGAACCTCCACCTAGATTTCAGATGTATGGAGATGCATAAGCAGATGTTTGCTGCAGGGGTGGGGCACTCATGGAGAACCTCTGCTAGGACAGTGCAGAAGGGAAGTGTGGGATCAGAGCCTCCACACAGAGTCCCTACTGGGGCACCACCTAGTGGAGCTGTGGGAAGAGGGCCACCATCCTCCAGACCCCAGAATGGTAGATCCACCAACAGCTTGCACTGTTCACCTGGAAAAGCTGCAGACAGTCAACACCAGCCCACAAAAGCAGCTGGGAGAGATGCTGTACCCTGAAAAGTCACAGGAGTGGAGCTGCTGAAGACCATAAGAACCCATCTTTTGCATCAGTGTGACCTGGATATGAGACGTGGAGTCAAAGGAGATCATTTTTGAGCTTTAAGATTTGACTGCCCTGCTGGATTTCAGACTTGCATGGGACCTGTAGCCCCTTTGTTATGGCCAATTTCTCCCATTGAAATGGCTGTATTTATCCAATGCCTGTACCACAATTGTATCTGGGAAGTAACCTACTTGCTTTTGATTTTAGAGTCTCAATAGGCAGAAGGGACTTGCCTTGTCTCAGATGACACTTTGGACTGTGGACTTTTGAGTTAATGCTGAAATGAGTCAATATTTGGGGGGACTTTTACAAAGGCATGATTGGATTTGAAATGTGAGGACATGAGATTTGGGAGGGGCCAGGGGTAGAATGATATGGTTTGACTGTGTCTCCACCCAAATCTTGTCTAGAACTGTAATAATTCCCACATGTCAAAGATGAGGGCCATTGGAGAAAATTGAATCATGGGGGAGGTTTCTCCCATACTGTTCCCATGATAGTGAGTTCTCACAAAATTTGATGGTTTTATAAACGGGAACTTCCAAGCACAAGCTTTCTTCTCATTTCTGCAGCCATTTTAGTCATGCCTTTCACCTCCCACCATGACTGTGAGGCATCCCACCCACATGGAACTGTAAGTCCAATAAACTTTTCTTTTGTAAATTGCCCAGTCTTGGGTATGTCTTCATGAAAACAAACTAATACATGTTTTCAGCAATTTTCTTAGTATTGGTTTCTATTTTTACTGCACAGTAGTCTAAGAGTGTTTCTGGTATAATTTCTTTCTTTTTTTTTTTTTTTAATTTGCTGAGGGTTGTTTTATGGCCAGTTGTATGGCTGATTTTAGAATGTATGCCAAGTGCAGATAAGAATATATATTCCATTGTTTTTGATTGGAAAGTTTTGTAGATGTCCTTTAGGCCCATTTGATCAAGCATTGAATTCAAGTCCTGAGTATCTTTGTTAGTTTTCTGTCTCAATGATCTGTCTGATATTGTCAGTGAGATTTGAAATCTCCCCATATTCCTTTGTGGTTATTTGAGACTCTTTTAGCTCTCTAAGAACTTGCTTTACGAATCTGAGTGCTACTGTGTTGCATGTATGTATATTTAATATAGCTATGCCTTCTTGTTGAATTAAATCCTTGTAAATCCTTAAAACCATCAGGCAATGCTAATTCTAACAGTCTGTTTGTGAGAAATTAGAATATCAACCCCTTATTTTTTCTGTTTTCCATTTGCTTGATAGATATTTCTCCATCCCTTTTATTTGAACCTATGGGTGTCATTGCATGTAAAACGGGTCTCTTGTAGACAGCATACAGTTGAACCTTGCTTCTTTATCCAACTAGCCACTCAGTGCCTTTTAATTGGGGCATTTATCCCTTTTATGTTCAAGGATAATACTGATATGTACAAGCTTGATTCTGTCATTGTGCTGTTAGCTGGTTCTTATGAAGACTTGATTGTGTGGTTGCTTTATATTAGCAATGGCCTATGTATTTAAATGTGTCTTTGCAATAACCAATAGGTCTTTCCTTTCCATATTTAGCATTCCCTTAAGGACCTCTTTTAAGGCAGGTCTGTGGTAATGAATTCCCTTTTTATTTGCTTGTCAGAAAAGGATCTTATTTCTCCTTTGTTTATGAAGCTTAGTTTGGGTGGATATCAAATTTTTGGCTGGAATTTCTTTTCTTTATGAATGTTGAATATAGGCTCAGAATCTCTTCTGGCTTATAAGGTTTCTGCTGAGAAGTCCATTTTCAGCCTGATGGGGTTCTCTTTGTAGGTAACTTGCCCCTTCTCTTCAGCTACGTTTAACATTTCTCCTTTCATTTTGACCTTGGAGAATCTGATGAATATGTTTCTTGGGGATGGTTGTATCATATAATATCTTTCAGAAGTTCTCTGCATTTCCTGAATTTGAATGTTGGCCTCTATAGTGAGGTTAGGGAAACTTTTATGGATAATATTTTCAAATAGGTTTTCCAAGTCGCTTGCATGTTCTCCCTCTTTTTCAGAGATACCAATGAGTTATAGATTTGGTCTCTTTGCATACTCCCATATTTCTTGGATGTTTTGTTCATTCTTCTTTATTTTTATTTCTTTATTTTTGTCTGACTGAGTTATGTTGGAGAACCAGTCTTTGAACTCTGATATTTCTTCCTCAGCTTGGGCAATTCTGCTGTTACTACATGCAATTTTATTGTAAAATTCTTCAAGTGAGTTTTTCAGCTCTATCAGTTCAGCTTAGCACTTTCTTGAAATGGCCATGTTATCTTTTATCTCCTGTATGGTTTTATTGTATTCTTTAGATTCCTTGACTTGGGTTTCAAGTTTCTCCTTGATGTCACTGATTTTCATTCATACCCATATTCTGTATTCTATTTCTGCCATTTGAGCCACTTCAGCCTGGCTAAGAACCATTGCTGGGGAACTAGTGTGGTCATTTGAAGGTTCTGGATTTTTGAGTTGCTAGCATTCTTGCCTTTTTTTTCCCCCTCATCTGTGTGGATAGATATTCCTACAATCTTTAAAGTTGCTGTCCTTTGGATTTTTTTTTATGCCCCTGGGGATTTCATTGTGGTAAAAGGTGGGTTCAGTAGACTGACTTCAATTCTACTCTCCTCCTGGCTCTTGGAGGAGTCCCCTTCAATTACTTTCTTTATCCCTGCATTTCTTTTGTTGAGTGTGCTTGTCCATGGGGCTCCCTCAGGTAGGACGCACAGTTTGCATATATGCCATATCTTTGCTGGGTCAGCCAAATCTGCTGTCTGAGTGCTTCCTGAGAGAACATTGGGTTGTGTCTGTATGCAGAGTTTAGGCAGAAGAGGGATCACTGGCCTGGAAGTTTGTCCTACAGGAGTTGCCTGCCTGTCTCCCAATAGCAGGGGTAGGCAGGGTCACCTTCTCTGTCATCTGAGTGTTTCCTGGGACAACAGAAGGCTGTGCCTTCTGGTAGAGTTTGCATGGAAGTGGGACTGCTGGGCCAGAAGCTCTAGCAGGCATAGGCTGCCTGGCTACCAGCAGTCAGAATGGATGGGGTCTCCTGCCCTGCCCTCTGAGTGCTTCCAGGACAGCAGGAGGCTGTGGCTACACCAAGTTCAGGCAGAAGTAGTACTGCTGGGCCAGAAGCTCTAGCAAGTGTTGCCTACCTGGTTATCAGCGGCAGGAGTGGGTGAGGTCTCCTTCCCTGCTCTCTGGGTGCTAATGGAAAAGCAGGAGACTGTGCTCACTGGCTGAACTTACACAAAAGTGAGGCTACTGAGCTGGAAGCTCTTGCAAGTATTGCCTGCCTGGCTACCAGTGGCAAGGGTTGATAAGGTCTTCCATCATGCTGTTCATGTGCTTCCTGGGACAGCAGGAAGCTGTGGTTACACCAAGTTCAGGCAGAAGTGGGACAGCTGGGCCAGAAGCTCTAGCAAGCATTGCCCTCCTGGCTACCAGTGGCAGGGGTAGGTCGGATCTCCGGCCCTGCTGTCTGGGTGCTTCCCAGGACAACAAGAGACAGTGCCCACTGGCTGAGTTCACAGAGAAGTGGGACTGCTGGGCTGGAAGCTCTAGCAAGCATTGCCCACCTGGCTACCAGTGGGGGGGGGGGTGGGTGGGGCCTATCATTCTGCCATCCAAGTGCTTCCCAGGACAACAGGAGGCTGCAGCTGCCAACAAAGTTTAGGTCAAAGTGAGACCACTGGGCTGAAAGCTGGTTCACAGCCCCATCCAGTGAGGGGGTGTGGAGAAATCTTATTCCTCTCAGGCCCTGCAATGCAACCTCTACTGGAGCTATGATGCTGGTACTGGTACTCCAGGGCACACACTCCATCCACACACATATACATAGATCACATTTCATTAATGACAGGGATACATAGAAAATATACAGGACAAATATTGTATTATAATCTTATGAGAACACAATCATATATGGTACTTGTCATTGACTGAAAAGTTATGTGGCATTTGACTGTATGTTACACATTTTTAAATGACAGAGATAAAATATAAATAAAAATTATAAAACAAACATCTGTGTATTTACCACCCACTTTTAGAAACAGCTATACTTTGAACCTGGTTTGTCTCTTGTTGATCCCAACAGCTAACAGAACTAACATCAGAATCATCTGAATCATTGGGATCACCTATTTTGGAAATATCAGATTAGTCAAATGAATCTTTGGCTAACTGTTTGAGAATGATGTTAACACCACACTAAGAATGCTACATTTTCCAGGATTTGACATTTTCAGCAATTGAGAATTATTATATATAGTAAGTGGAGATACCAATACTGAAAGCAGAATGGTATAAATAAAATAATGTCTTTTGTTTGCAAAGTTGATATATTAGAGCAATGCAAAAATAATAATAAAAGTGTTATATTTTGTGACAGAGTTATCTTGGGGTAAACACTGTAGTCACAAGGACCATGGGCAAGTATTTTTGGGGCAGGTGGGAACATATTTATTGCATATGATTAATGTGTACTGTACATTTTTTTTACTTTTTTATGAAGTGCTTGTTAAATTTGTTGCTCACTCTTTTTTAAAAATTTTGGTCTTGTTTTTAATATTTAGGGTTTCAAAATATACATCCTAGATATTTGTTTTCCTGTAAGTTTTATGCATTACAAATATTTTCTTATTTTGTGGCTTATCTTTCCATGTTCTTTGTGTTTTTTTTTGATTAATAGAAATTCTTAGTTTTAGTTATTCAAATTCATGTCTTTTTCTCTATATTTTGTACTTTTTATGTAGAAAAACTTTCTTTACCACAGTTTACAGTTACATCGCATATTGTTTATAAAAGTTTAATAGTTTTGCTTTTTATACTTGTCCTTAATCCATAGGAAGTTTTTATGGTATGGAGGAGGAATTCATTTTATTCATTCTTTATAAGTTATTATATAGTGACTTCCCCTCAAGCCAATACAATTTGTTGTAATATTAAGATGATTATACCTGCATACTTTTAACTAGAATTTATGTTTTTCTATATTTCAAAAAGTCTGCCTGTATCTGTATAATACAGGTATATTTCACATAATGAACATATTTCCAATTTTTAAAAATATGGTCTTAAATTCTTGTATTTTAACTAAAGAGGTTACTCACTTATATTTATAATAATTACTGAAATATTTGATTCAAGCCTATTTTATTTCTTGGTTTCCTTTTGTGCTATAGAGTTGTTGATATGGTTTGGCTGTGTCCTCATTCAAATTTTGTCTTGAATTGCTGTTCCCATAATCCCCAGGTATCATGGGAGGGACATAGTGAGAGGTAATTGAATCATGAAGGCAGTCACTCCCATGCTGCTGTTCTCATGACAGTGAGTGAGTTCTCATGAGGTCTGATGGTTTCATAAGGGGTTTTTTTTCCCCTTTGTGCAGTGCTCATTCTCTTTCCTGCCACAGTGTGAAGATGGACATGTTTGCTTGCCCTTCTCCCATGATTGCAAGTTTTCTGAGACCTCCCCAGCAATGAGGAAATATGAGTCAATTAAATCTCTTTCCTTTATAAATTACCCCATCTCAGGTATATTTCTTCATAGCAGTGTGAGAATGAACTATTACAGTAAGTTGGTATGGGGTAATAGGGTGCTTCTGTAAAGATACCCGACAAAGTGGAAGTGACATTGGAACTGGGTAACAGCCAGAGGTTGGAACAGTTTGGAAGGTTCACAAGAAGACAGGAAAATATGGGAAAGTGTGAAACTTCTTAGAGACCTGGAGGGCTCAGAAGTCAGGAAGATGTGGGAAAGTTTGGATCATCCTAGAGACTTGTTGAATGGCTTTGACCAAAATGCTGATAGTGATAGGGACAATGAAGTCCAGCCTGAGGTGGTTTCAGATGGAGATAAGACACTTTTGGCAACTGGAATAAAGGTGATTCCTTTTATGTTTTAGCAAAGAGACTGGTGACATTTTGCCCCTGCCTTAGAGATTTGTGGAACTTTGAACTTGAGAGAGATGATTTAAGGAATCTGATGGAAGAAATGTCTAAGTGACAAAGCATTTAAGAGGAAGCAGAGCACACAAGTTATGAAAATTTTCAGACTGATGATGCAATAGAAAAGTTGAAATTCAAGCTGACTATAAGAATTTGCATAAGTAACAAGGAGCCAAATGCTAATCACCAAGACAATGGGGAAAATGTCTCCAGGGCATGTCAGAGACCTTTACAGCAGCCACTCTCAACACAGATGTCAGAGGCATAAGACCAAAAAATGGTTCTGTGGGCCTGGCCCAGGGACCTGTGCTCTGTGCAGCCTCAGGACATGGTGCCCTGCATCTCAGCTGCTTTACCTCCAGCCATGGCTAAATGGGGCCACAGTATATCTCCATGGGTGTAAGTTCTAAGCCTTGGTGACATACATATCATGTTGAGCCTGTGGATGCATAGAAGTCAAGAATTGAGGTTTAGGAACCTCAGCCTAGATTTCAGAGGATGTATGGAAATGCCTGGAAATCCAGGTAGAGGTTTGCTACAGAGGTGGAGCCCACATGAAGAACCTCTGCTAGGGCAGTGTGGAAGGGAAATGTGGGGCTGGAGCCCCCACACGAAGTCCCCACTGGGGCACTGCCTAGCAGAGCTGTGAAAAGAGGGCCAGCATCCTCCAGACCCCAGAATTGTAGATCAGCTGACAGCTTGCACTGTGTACCTGGAAAGACTGCAGACACTCAACACCAGCTTGTTAAAGCAGCAAGGAAGGGGCTGTACCCTGCAAAGCCACAGGGGCAGAGCTGAACAAGGTCATGGGAGCCTGCTTCTTGCATCAGAGTGACCTGGATGTGAGACATGGAGTCAAAGGAGGTTGCTTTGGAACTTTAAGTTTTAGTGACTGTCCTGTTAGATTTTGGACTTGCATGGGCCCTGTAGCCTCTTTGTTTTGGCTAATTTCTCCCATTTGAAATGGGCATATTTACCTAACACCTGTACCCTCATTGTATCTGGGAAGTAACTAACTTTATTTTGAGTTTGCTGGCTCATAGGTGAAAGAGACTTGCCTTGTCTTAGATGAAACTTTGGACTTGGACTTTTGGGTTAATGCTGGAATGAGTTAAGACTTTTGGGAACTGTTGAAAATGCACGATTGTGTTTTGAAATGTGAGGACATCAGATTTGGGAGGGGCTGAGGGGAAAGATATGCTTTGGCTGTCTCCTCACCCAAATCTCATCTTGAATTGTAGTTTTCCTAATCCCCAGCTGTCATAGGAGGGACCAGAGGGAGATAATTTAATCACTGGGGCAGTTTCCTTGATCCTGCTCTCGTGATAGTGAGTGAGTTCTCACAAGATCTGACGGTTTTATAAGAGGCTTTTCCCCATTTACTTTGCACTCATTCTCTTTCCTACCATGATGTGAAGAAGACATGCTTGCTTCTCCTTCTGCCATGATTTTAAGTTTCCTGAGGCCTGCCCAGCCATGCTAAACTGTGAATCAATTAAACATCTTTCCTTTATAAATTACCCAGTCTTGGGTATGTCTTTATTAGCAGCATGAGAACAGATGCATAGAGTTATGTAGTTTTTCTTTGCTTTATTTTGGATTAATTCTATTATTTCTTTTTTTCTTACCTCACTATTTTTCTTCTGCTAATTTGGACGTTATATGTGGTATTTGTATTACTTTAAGGAAAAATATTTTATTATGCATAGTAATTTTAACAAAGTATAAATGGAGTTTAGCTTTTCTATGTAACAATATAACTATGATGACTTTTCTCCTAATGTGTTTATTATTCAATAATGTATATATTACCAAATATTATATATTTATGTATATATACACACATACACATTACCAGGGCTTTTTTTCCTCATTATTTTTTCTTGTATTGCAGACTTTCCCTCTTGGTCATTTTACTTCTGCCTTAATAACATCCTTTAGAATTTTGCTTAGTGAGGTTTTATTTCTGCTAAATCTCTTATTTGTTGCTTGTCTGAAAATGTGTCTATTTTATTCTTGTTCCTGAAAGGTGGTTGTATTAAAAGTATATTCTAGATGCACCACTTTTTTTTTTCTCAGCACCCTTAAAATACTGTTTCACCATCTTCTATTTTTCATGGTTGTTAACAAATCAGTCTTATTGTTGCATTTTTACAAATAATCTTTTCTCTCTAGCTACTTTTAGAATATTCCCTTTGTTTTGGTAATAAGCTATTTCAGTCTCAGTTATTCAGATGTAGATTTCTTTATCTTTGCTGTGGTTGAGACACTTTGAGCACTCCAAATCTAAAGACTCATAGTTTTTAAATCAGTTCTGAAATTTCCCTAACATTATGTTTTCATCTAACTGTGGCTACCTAATTGATTTATTGTTATAGTATTACAATAAGCCAGAAAGATGAAAAATTTATAAAATTTAGTGGCAGATGCCTGTGGAATACAAGTTTAGGTAAAACATAGCAATTTTTGAAACAGCTAGAGTTGTATTGATAAAATAGGAAAATAAAATAGAGAGGGTCTATCTCCTATTTCCATAGACATTCATACAATATGTGGTTGTAGATTTTCTTCTGTACTTGGGCTTCATGTCACCAAATAAATTAATTCTTTATTTTGTGAAATGATGTTTAAGCTTCAACCTCTTCAAAAAGTTGCTTTCTCAACTCAGTACTCAAGTCACACATATTCTTTTCGTCTTGAACATTTCATTGCCTACTACATAAACTGTAATCAAACTTTCACAATCTCAAGGAATGGCCATATCTAGGATTTCACAATGCTTTTTCTGGTCCAAAATTGGATTTAAAATGATATACAGAAATTTGGAAAGGAGACTACACTATATTTTCATTTTTTAGACATCATTATTGCATGCCACACCTACCTACACAGACCCATTTTTTCCTGTGTGGATCTTTACTCCATTATTGCATTCACTTACATTTGCAAAATATGTTAATTTACATGTATTTAGCTGTACTATTTGAGGATTCTCTCCTTCTGTGTGTGTATAAACTTAAAAATACAGGTCATATATGGTAAGTATTATAATTGGTTGCTAAGTAGTAATAAAATAACATTTAAAATGCATGTACCAAAATGTAGTGTCCAGGGTATTGCTCCTCTCATATCTCACTCTGTATTAGGAAACAATAGGATTCATATATATATGATTTATTTATATTCATATATACATATATATACAACATTGCTTTTTACTACATGAATTTTAAAAGCTTTTTATTGTCCTTTTACATTGGTAGCTGTATTAATTTAAAGATTGAATATTTGTTTTGATAGATAACAAATGTGAATTATTCTTAATATGGGAAATATGCAGTTATATTACAAATCTTTGGAAGTGCTTACAGAAAATCTCGATCTTTACATGCCATTCTGTACAAACATAATTATTGGCATTACATATGAATTAGCTCAGTACACACAGAGCTAATTATAGAACTAAATACAGAATTACATCTGTAATTCAGACAAATTGAAATATTCAAACAGAATTGTAGATTTGTCAATTCCATTGTAAAGAAAATAATATTTGAATTCTTCCTTTGAATTTATGTGCCTTTTCATAGAGGTATAGATTTGTGTTCTGGTTTGGTTTTTGGGAGACAGATTATTTCATAGTCTTATTACATGATAAATTTCCACTCATAAAAATCTGGTGAGTTGTTTAATAACTTTTTAAAAGAAATCTTGCTTAAGAATATACCTGGAAAATATGGGATGGATTTTGTATAGAAACCGGTGTTAGACATTTTTCTAGAAGAATGTGAATACAGCAATTTGCCTTTCAAACTTGTTATTGCTACTGGCTTCAGTTCTTCTCTTTCTTCAATTATTTGTGGAAATAAAAGTTCAAGAGAATCAAATTAGTTTGCGACGTGAAAAGAAAAAAGGCAGAGCAAAATATAGGGAAAAACAAGGAGATGCTAGAAAAATATTTCCCACATGAATTTTTTTTAGGGGAAAGTGGGCTTTATATATTTTGCCTTCTTGATTTCTTTATTCGCACATTCTGCAATTCAGAAATATTTGTTATCACCTTATATATGCCGCATCGTATTAAAAGTATTGGTAGATATTGGTTCTTACCCTAGGAAAGAATTGTGGAAAATCAGTTGCTACTGCTGATGTTTTACATTTAATGACTGCCCATTTTCTTTCTGTGTCATTTGACATCCAGACGAAATCATTCTTATTTACAATTAAGAAAAGCTACCATCACCTGTTTTTGTCCCTCTATAGTCCAAGTAATTTCTCTCATTTGTTTAGCAGCTTTTGATGTATCAAAGAAAACTTGCATCAGATGGATTTAAACAGGCAGAGAATAATTTAAGACTATTGTAATAGGGGACAGAGATTGAATTCAACTCTCTTGAAAGAAAAGGTGGGAGAGTTTGAAGCACTGGAAAGTCTTAAGCACTAAGATGAGCTAATGAAAAAGTGCCGGAGGACTATAAGATGAGGTTGATCGATGTGATCATGCCATCAGTGTTTGCTAAGTGGCACTTGAATTTAGGCTCCTACCTTCCCGCAGAGACTGGGAGATAGGGACCCTGTCTCTCTTGATGATTATATTTCAAACGGATGGCTCCCAGATCCTCTAAAAAAACATTCCTGGGTTGTAAAACTGGCAAAAGGATGGGAGATTAATATCTCAAAGGAGCAAAGAAAGAATTTACAATTGCCAATTTTTTTTTTTTTAAGTAACTGCTCTAACAAGAAGGAGGTAGGGGGAGGGCTACAGTCAGAAAGAAATCTGTCTAAAGTTCAGTCAAACAGAGCAGAATATTAAGGCTGTCTTGATCATTTGTACTGAATTAAAGCAGTTAATAGTGTTTATGGCACAGATAAAAATGAAGATCTGAATTTGAGTTGGCCTAGGAAGACTGAGTTCAAAAGTAAATTAATGAAATTTAATAAGTTGCCCTAAAAATAAGACACTTATTCAATTAGTGTATACTAATTGGGAAATAAAGCAAAAAGGCAGTTTTGGAGAATCTTTCAGAGGCTTGTATTTCTTTAGGAAAGGTTAAACAAACCCACATGCCTCACCAAAACTATTCATTTCTGTCTCTGATGTGCACCCTGTAAAACACGAGTTTCTAGTGTTCTAGTTTCTCTGCACATAATAAAGAGAATTTCCCATTGCTGTCTATTCAGCAACTTTATTTCCTATAATCCAGTCTTTATGTGGAGGCAGTTAATTTTAATTAATCCCTGGAGGAATTCTGTGCTTTATTGTGCATCTTCTACCATGTAGATCCACGTGGTTTGGTTACAGTAACATTGAGATACGTGAGTTACAGTTAATATGATTGGTGAATTGTTGCATGTTTTTGTTTTGTGATTGTCAACCCTGTCCTTAGGGTATATTTTGTTGTAGAATTTACTTGAAATGCTAACTTCAATCACTAGAGGTAAATGATCTTTTTTTCCTTTGTTGGAATAAAATGAAGTATTTATTTTTTATTTTTATTATGCTAGGAAAAAAATAGACTCTACAAGTGGCTTCAGATTTACTGCCTTTGGTAAAAACGGACGGGGTTGATGTGCTATGTTTTGATTCAATGTTAAAAATTCCTGATATATACTATTGCTGTAGGAAAAGATATATGAAACATCAAACGGCTAAAGAAGCTGATAAAGCAATTACTTTTATTGGTAAAGCAATTATTTTTATTTTCTTGGAAGTGATATTTCTTCCCAACAAATAGCATGCTTTTTTTTCCTCTGATGACATCATTGGAATGAAAGATTCTTAATAGACGTGGCCTCCCTTGCCGCGACTAAAATGGTCTCCCAAGGAAATATATTTTATGATTTTAGTCTTATATTAAATATTTAAGGGTATTTTAAATAACCTCACTAAATTCAGAAGGAAATTGACATAAATGTAGAGCTAATGTTTTAAAAAGGACAAAATGTGAAAAGACTACAAGGACTTGGTGTTCTCTAGGAGTCTCAGAAATTCATCACTGCTTGTGTGTCATGCATTTTATTGCCTCCAGGAAAGCAGGGACCTTTATCTGAAGGACATTCTTTTGTTCTTTAATAGATGTTGACTATTCAAAGCACTGGAGAAACTGAATACATTTTCTAATACTATTTTTTCCTTTAACTTGACTTGATTATATATAACACTTCCTATGCCTAGTGAGTCAAGTTTCTTCAATGAATTATTTCAAAGGTTGCTCTGGATTATTACAATTTTATTTTTTTCCCTCTTTAATACTTGTAGCATGGGTGCTTCAAGTTCCTGATACTAGAAATAAAATTGTAGTAAAGGTGCTCAAGGAGTAACATATCCTAGTTGGTGTTCTGTAAGCTCATCTACATAGTGTAATGATGTAAATGATACAGAGTAATATCGTAATTGCAGGTGTTAGTCTGAGGTTGAAAAGTAGGTTAGTGTCATGTACCTTAAGATCTTGGAGAAGTGAAGGGCCTTTGCTGAATTTAAGAAATAACTTTGTTGAGTGATTAAACATAAACAAAATCAGAGTTAATAATATCTTCTTCTACCCAAATGAAATTTACTATTATACTAATGCTTAATTACCATGAAATATTCTTGCCCCCGTGTTGATGTGGCTTGTTGAATCTTCAGTCACATGCAGAATCTGCACTTCTTATCAAATGGTAATTTCATATTTTATCTCAACCTTTTCTTGTAGGCTAAGATTCAAACTAGTTTTATGAACAAATTTGTAATTAATAAAATTGGCATAACAAAAGGAACTATATTAACATTTCTTGTAGCTATGAAATTATTAGTTTAGATTATCATTACTAAATAGACTTCAATTAGCTAAAAATTAAAACTGCACTTCAACTTATGTTAATTTTGATCCATTTTTTATCATGCTATATTCTATAGCAATTCTTTAAAACATGTTAGTTTTATTATTTTCTTATATAAAGAAAAGAATAAAATCCATGGCATATAGTGCCTCTAATGCTTCATTTGCATACCACATCTTCACATTATTAAATATATTTGAATTTGCAGGCTTCAAAATTAGCATCTGTTTCTCATTAATCAACTTTCATTTCTTCAGGTGTTAGTGATGTAATTACAGTCAGGTGTACAAGCCTGGCTTCATGTATTCTTATTAGTGTGACATCGTTATTATCAATTTTACTATTTAGATTTAACTGCATTTTCTCTGATATGTGGAATTTCTATAAAACTTCTTATTGAATCAGCATTATTATATAGACTGCAATTTTCCAAAATATGTAGGTATTTTTTTTAAATGTTATTTTAATATATCTTCTGAAGGAAAAAAAATACTTTCTTTTCTATTTCTCACTCTGTAACCCTCATTCTCACTATATTTTACTTGAAGAATAGAATGTTATATATTTATAATTGTTTACACAATTTATGAAGATATTCTTGTAGTTCTCAGGGTGATTCTTATAAATTGTTTTCTCAGAAGAAACTCTTTCTGGGTTCCATGTCAATGGATATGTTATCTTTTGATTCCGGTTATCTGTACCTCCAAACAACTCCAATTGTCTATGAATCTCTCTCTCTCTCTCTTTTTCTCCGCCCCCCACCCCGCCTTTCCATCTCTGTATCTATATGTCCTTTTAGAAGCAAAGGCAGCTTGCTCATACTGTCTCATTTGTATATATACCGATTCCTATGCTTGGATATTTGAAAGGTCATAAATGATTCTTAGAAAAGACATTTCCTTATTAGTTGCTTCCCACTACACATATGTCCTGAAAACTACTTTCAGGTGCACCCTTACTCAATACAGTAATCTCTTATGAGTCTTATTTTCAATTAGGATATTGGAATAATGCCAATCTAGATTATTTCTTTTACAACCATCAGTATCTACTTCATCATTCTTTTCCTTTCTTTGGAGTATAAGTTGGGAAATGGAAATGAACTCACTATTTGTGTAATGTTCTGAAATCTTTGTATTTAGCCAGAAACCAACATTTAATTTTTGTTTTATGTGAGTAAAAAAATGTTAAAGGAAGTCTCCTAATCAGAAGAATATCTATTTTCTTTGATTTGCTCAGTGTTTTCTTTTCTTTAATTTTACTTTTAACTTTTTAAGGCAAGACAATATCCACCCGATTATATGCTATATCTATCAATGTATTTTATCATATTATATGAATACTTTTAAATATTAGTTATCTTATTATAAATATAACAATTAGTTAAAAATTTGAGTCCTCAGAGAAGCAGGAAGATTTTTAAAAATCTTCGGCAGCTAATTCCAGTAGAAAATTATTATTAAATGTTTGGTATTGCCTTGCATTTTTAAATGAATAGAGTTTATATCTTTTTTGATACTATGAGTATTATTTTCTCATTATCATATATTTATTTGAAATGCTTACATTATTACATATCATAGTGGTAGTATTTCATTTAGAGGACATACCAAGAAGCTTCTTCCCCCTTTACTAAACATACATTTTTAAAGGCAAATTACCAGTATTTTAAAATTAACTTGGCCAAGCGCTGTTGCTCATGTCTGTAATTCCAGCACTTTTGGAAGCCCAGCCTGGAGGACAGCTTGAGCACAGGAGTTTGAGACCAGCCTGGGCAACATAGGGGGAGGCCCCTCTCTACAAAAATAAATAAATAAAATTAGCCAGTCATGGTGGTGCTTGCCTGTAATCCTAGCTACTTGGGAGGCTGAGGTAGGAGGATCATGTGAGCTCAGGAATTTGAGGCTGAAGTGATCCATGATCGTGCTACTGCACTCCAGGCTGGCTGACAGGGCAAGATTCTGTCTCAAAATAAATACATTCATAAAATTAACTAACTGAGTCAGAAGTTGTAAACAGTTTACGTCTCTTGTTCCAGTGTTTGGGTCAACTTATTTTGCTATTTGCAATCATTGAATATGATTTTTCTTAAGTCTTTAGTAAATTGATATAAGGCAAGTACTTCTTATTATTTTATTTGGCATTTGTATGCTCTTCTTAGGTGTCTCTGTATACCATTAGCCACCAATGGTAGTCTTAAGGAATACTATTGCAAAACGTCCCTCTGTTGAGATTTGTCTAATGTTTTTCTCATGTTTGGATTGAAGTTATGGGTTTTGGGAAAGAAGACCATAAGGGCAAAATGCTATTTTGTAACATTTAAACGAGGGTTCATACTACCAGCATGACTTCTCTGTTGATGTTGACCTTGATCACTGAGATAAAATAGTGTTTGTCAGGTTTTTTCCTTGTGAAATTACTCTTTTTGCTACTGTTTCTACACTGTACTATTTGGAAAGATGTCACAATGCACAGCTCACACTTAAGGAGCTGGATGTTCTACTCAACCTTTTGGAGGATGGAGTATCTATATGAATTAGTGGGAATTCTTCTGCATGGGAAATTTATCCTTTCTTCTGCTTTATATGTTTATTTATTATTAATTTATGTACTATTAACTCAGAGCTGTTTATGTTATCTAATTTTTTGCTCACATTTTTCTAGCTTTGGCCATTTGGGGCACTTTTAGTTAGTTTCTTCATCCCTTTGACACCTTTATCAGTGTGTGTGTTTGTGACAGTATTTCGAGAACTTCCTAATTTTATAACACTGTAAGATGCTCCAGGCTCATCTTTAATCTGTCCTAGTTCTACGCCTAGAATCAACTCTTTCTCCAAGGAGTCCCAGTTCCTCTTATCTGCCTAGGCTTATTGTTCATGAGACAATGAATTCATTCGTTAGTTTTATGCATAGTCTGTGTAATGCTTGCTATGCATGACCAGAACTGCTTTTCCCAAAATTCTTTTGAATGGGAATGTTGTCGTCAATTCCAGGATACACAAATGTCTCCCAGAAGTACAGAAAGAATCCGCACAGCCATAAATGTTTTTTCTCCTGAAACAAACCACTTGAAAATTCAAGGGAGACAAATATCTTTAGCCCAGGTGAAATGTTTTCCAAAAATTTAGTATAAAATATTTTGAGAAATTGAATAATAAAAAATATGCCTTTTAAGGTAAGGATAAAGAAAATAAGGTTTCACTTTAAGGATACTGTAAAGGAAAGACAGCCCGTATACAAAGAAAGGATGGTTTCTAAAGGAGTTCTGGTTTTTTTTGTCTTTCTTTCTTTTTTTTTTTTGAGACGGAGTTTCGCTCTGTTGCCCAGGCTGGAGTACAATGGCGCGATCTCGGCTCACCAATGGGGGTGGATCTCGGCAAGCTCCACCTCCCAGGTTCACGCCATTCTCCTGCCTCAGCCTCCAGAGTAGCTGAGATTACAGGCGACAGCCACCACGCCCGGCTAATTTCTTGTATTTTTAGTAGAGACAGGGTTTCACCAAGTTGGCCAGGCGGGTCTCGAATTCCTGACCTCAGATGATCCACCCACTTCAGCCTTCCAAAGTGCTGGGATTCCAGGCGTGAGCCACCGCGCCCTGAATGAGATCTGTATTCTAGAGGTGGAGGCCCTTCCTTCTGTCTGTACAATCAGGGCTCTAAATCACACGACAGTTTAATATTGAATTTATTTAAATATAAATCACAGATGTAGAAAAAAATTACTTGAATAAAATATACCTTAGAAAAACAAAACTTTGTTTTGCATATTCTAAGGGAAGAATTTATTCTTCTCAAGCTGTCTAAAGGAAAAAATGCAGCAGAAATATCCCATGGCAACATCATTTAGTAAAGACAAATTTACAAAGTCTATTAGCCTGTTAAATACAAATGCATCAAAATATGACTGTGGAGAGACAGTTATATTTAGCATATGGAGGTACATAGCAAAGTGTATTGATATTGGAATATTGATGTGTTTGGAGAATTTATATATAATATTCAGAATTTTATAAATAATAACAGTATTGCTTATCTCATATGATTTTTGTGACAACTAAATGAAATGCTGCATATAAATGTTGGGTCCATACTAAACACTCAATAAATCTTAGCCATTGTAATTACTAGTAGTACCATCAGTAGTAAAATTAGCATTCATAAGAAAAGGCAGGTACTTACAACCCTCTCCATCTAATAGAAAATGAAAAGTTTAGGTTTAAACCAAAAATTTGTTGTTAGATTTTAAGTGGTCTACCAGGAGCTACCATTTTGTGTGAGTTTTAGAAATGGATGGATATATTGTGTCATTTTTAAAAAATAGTGAGTTGTAGTAGACTATCTAAAAAGATAGCATCAATTACATAGGGTTAGATAAGTGAATGAGTTCACAAGTCTCCTCTGGGTATATTAGTGTAAGACTTTAATAAAAATAATATGGTGAAGAAGGAGAAAGAAAGCAAAAGCAAGCATGCATCAGGGCATCTAGAGATTTCCAGGTGCAGCTCTCTAGGTTTTTTTTTTTTAGGAACTGTTTAAATATAAAATCAAGAGCATTATGAAGTTTAAAATAACACTAAAATCATAATTTAATTATTGGTTTTTCTGTTTTATTTTAAATCTCCTATTTCTCACACTTATTTTCACTGATTTATATAATATCTATAAACTTTTTTGTTCTTCTCAAAAGTTTCTAGTGCAGCTTTCTCTGTCTTTCACCTACTTTGTTTCTGTACAGTAGACATACGTCAACATTGCATTTTTTGGTACATTTTGTATAGATAATTATTTTACATTATTTCTACAGTTAATTATTTACTTTATTGGAAATTCTCAGCCTCCATGATTGTGTGAACCAATTACTTATAATAAATCATATTTTTGAAGTCTGTTTTTCTGGAGAACCCTACGAGAATTATTTTCTGTTCTCAACCTTTGCTAAGATATGTGAATATGTATCAAATATTGCTATCACACATTCAGTTTAGACTAGGTTGGTTTTTTTCATATGTGAAGTTTATCATATTTATATTTGATTTTCTGTCATGAAACTACTGAAACTTCTATTGAAGCCTGTGAATACCAAGCTATGAAGAATTTGTCACTTTTGTGATTTTGCAATTAAAAAAGAGATGACCAGATAAATAATTATAAAGAGGAGTAAGGAATAATTCCATTTTTCTTATGGAAAAAGTAAAACAATTTTAGAAGAAAAAAATATGTAGGAGTATTAAAAGTTTCTGGCCGGGCACAGTGGCTCATGCCTGTAATCCCAACACTTTGGGAGGCCGAGGTGGGTGTATCACCTGAGGTCAGGAGTTCGAGACCGGCCTGACCAACATGGAGAAACCCCGTCTCTACGAAAAATACAAAATTAGCTGGGTGTGGTGGCTTATGCCTATAATCCCAGCTACTCAGGAGGCTGAAGCAGGAGACTCTCTTGAACCTGGGAGGCAGAGGTTGCAGTGAGCCAAGATCGTGCCATTGCACTCCAGCCTGGGCAACAAGAGCGAAACTTCATCAAAAAAACAAACAAACAAAAAAAAAACTTTCTAAATGATACTACCAATGATACTAGATGTAATGTCTTTCAAACAAACAAAAAAAAACCCACAAAAACCTCTACTCTTGATTTTGGAATTTTAACTATAATGAGAAGAGTACTGTCTAGGAATTGAAACAGATTTCACAAGAAAAGAATTTGATGATACATTATCTTAGATCCTTTTCAAATACACATCACTTAGTGTATATCTATTTGGTTTGCCACAGAAACACTCACTGAGTATATGTTAAATTTCTACAAAATATTAACAGGCACACTGGACTTTGAAATCTGGTTTTTGGTTTGAAATAATTCATTTTTCCGTTGCTCCTGGTGCTTCTTTGTGTATTGTTTCTGAGTTCTTACATGAATTCAATGATAACAGAATATTAAACATATAACCATAGAAATGTCTCTGCTTCTATAGTACTATTTTATCGTGATGGCATTTTGATACCAGTACAGACTGATTATAGTTCAATAAATGAAACTAACAAATCAGTGCAAAGCCTCCATGACAACTGAAATTTCGGTCCTGGAATTATTTTTTCCCCACATTTTTCAATACAGACACAACCTAATAGCTTCTCTCCTGTAGCTGCATAAGTATTTATATGGTTGTTCACATGTTTTAAAAACATCTCCAAAGACTCCATCTTTACGTGAAGTTTAAATAGTGTGTAAAAAAAGAGTAAGGGAAGATATATAATGTGTTTTACTCTCCTAAAGCATAAACTTAGCAAACACACACTGTGCAAGAATAATTCATTCTTACATCTCTTTCAAAATCTATACAATAACCCATGAACCCAGAGTTTTTAAATAGAAAGTGGCATTTGCCCACCAGGATACTTCATTTACATATCACCGGCTAAGTCCTGTGTGAATGAGGGCAGTGCAAGTGCTGAGCGTGATTTCTGGATGAAGGTGTCACCTGTGAAATGACAAAAATTGACCCTTTGTGTGTCTACCTCCCTGCTGTGAGTAACTAAGCAATACTGTTACTTGGCTGATTTCCTAATAAACTACAGGTGGGAGGGTGTTGAGGTTGTGCCATTACAAATCATCATCTGTTAGATCAAAGTGCACAGGAAAGAACGGAAGCTGTGCAGTATTAATAGCTACACTTATCTCTCCAGTCACTTAATAATTGGTGACTGGAGAACATTGGAATAATTATCATTCATTTTGCTGTTCTGAGAACATATATTAAATCTGCCTTTGTATTTTTAACATTTGAAAATAAAAGCTAGTATATTACTTCCATTTTTATAAATATTTTCTCATATTCCACAGTTGCTGATATTTATCAGGTGCTTTCTGTTTGACAGCCAAGGGACACTGATCTAGACTTTTGTATCCTTATAATTCTCACAGCAATCCTTTTGTGTAGATTACTTTATAACTATAATCAATGCTATCATTGGTTATAGTTGTAATCAAATATTGAAGACTTGCAGATTAAAAATGTTTGCTGTTTCCTTCGTGAGAGTCTTAAATGGTTAGATTGTTCTACTGGATGAAGAAATGTTTTTATGGTAATAGGCAAACAGAAGATTGAGGACAGGGCTCAGTTTTGGAGTGTTCTGGTGGTTTTAGAGTCTTATGTGCAACGATATGTTAATTGCTGAATTTTCCAGTGTATATTTTGATTCTGCCGTAAAACTTGGACTGCATTTGACTGTGGGTGTGTGTTTGTATTTTATAAAACTAATAGAAGGCCTGAGAGAAAAAAAAAATGGGACAAGGAAACATTGTGAGATCTTATTTGTCTTGTGTATAATGCTATGCACAGACTTGTAAGCCAGCACTGTGGAGATCTCAATGAACTTCAATGAATGATAAGCTGCTTTTATGCTTTTATATTGCTTTTCAGCCCTTCTTTGCCTGGACAAGCCAGATGACAGGTATATTTATAATTATTTTTGGACTTGCATTTTGTTGTTTCGAAGATAATGACTTTCTTGGCTTCAAAAATGTAACTACATCTGTCTCACTCTCAGATCCCAAAATGTAAATATTGAAACATATGGAGTCAAAAATGGAAAATAAGAAACATTCTATGGTTTGGCATTTCTCACATGTATTAAGGTAAATAAAGTAGTCTCCCCTTGATGTTCCCAGACTCCCAGTGGATGCCTGAAGCCGCCAAACCCTATATATGAGGTTTCTTCTTATCTGATAACTAAGACAGCTGCTAAGTGACAAAGGGATGGGTAGCATATATGGCATGGACAAAGGGATGGTTTCCATCCCTGCTGAGATGCAGGAAAAACTAGACATATGCAGAAAACTGAAACTGAACCCCTTCCTTACACTTTACACAAAAATTAACTCTAGATGGATTAAAGACTTAAATGTAAAACCTAAAACTATAAAAACCCTAGAAGAAAACCTAGGCAATAGCATTCAGGACATAGGCATGGGCAAAGACTTCAGATGAGATGGAGTGGGACAGCGTGAGATTTCATCACACTACTCAGAATGGTATGAAATTTAAAACTTACAAATTATTTATTTCTGGAATTATTTTCATTTACTGTTTTTGGAATGCATTTATCTATGGGCAACTGAAACTGCAGAAAGTGAAACCTTCTATAAGGGATGGGGGCTACTGTATAAAGCATTTTTCTTTCCTTCAGATTTATTCCCATTGCAAGCAGTTTTTACAAATGTCTATTTTAGTGCAAATTTGGCAGTTTAATTTTCATATAATTTTTAGAAAATAATTGTTCCTCCCATCTATTCAAGTGTGAGATTTTGACCCTGCGGCACAGTGAATATCAATATATTTCCTGAAATAAAAAGATTCATTTTTATCCTTATTTTTTGTGTATCTTGAAATATGTCCCTGTGCTTGCTTCTCAGTCATTCAAACCCTAAAACTACAACCACACTTCAATAAGATGGAGATGCAGTACTGTCTTCTGAAATTAGTGCTTGCAATTCCAGCAACTGCAATCAGAGGACAGTGGTGCATGTCATAGAGATTATTAACCACCCACCCAAGTTGTATCTCTCCTTCTGTAGTTACAATCTCTCAGGATTGCATTGGAGATCAAGGCTAAAATACCTTCACCAGGCTTTCTTAAAGTCGAGTCCTGACTAGACCTTATCAATAAAATGTGATAGGAAGTCATGTGAATCATTTCTGAGACAGATATTTGTTTGAGACAGATATTTGTTTCCGTTATGTTCTCTCTTCGTTTTTGCTGTCTGGCTAAAGATGACGATGATGAAATAGCAATTGAGAGGGAGCCACAAAATGTAAGGTGTTTGGATCATTGAATATTAATGTGGATGAATACCTTCTGCAAACCAAAAATAAACACCTTAGACTGTTGCATAAAAAGGAAAGAAACGTCTATTGCATTCCAGCAACATACATTTCTGAGTTTTTTCATTATAGCAGTGTAATCTACCCTAAATAACACAGTGCCGATATATGAAACATAGACTAAAGTGATGAAGCCTTCTTCAAGGCAAACAGAGAGATCCAGGAGAGTCAATTATTGACTCCAGTCCATAAATGGTAGGTGCTTGGAACTATTCAATAATGTTGAATAGATTTTAAGATTTCCTTAGGATTCAGCACTACAGACTGCTGTGATGAATGGGCATGGTTATCATGGCAAGTGTGTATAGTGTTGTGGCAAGTATTTCACATGCTTCCCAAACCTGATGATGTAGAGAAATCAGTGACTGCCTTATCTATAAAGTTAAAACATTGTTAAATATTAACACACAACATCATGCAATATGGGACAGCTTTAGGAATTTGGAGGCATCAGTTTTTCTGTTTCAATATATTTGATGATCTTTGCACTGATATGTCTATTAACATCTCCTCCCTCTAATATCAGGCTTTCTTTCTTCTCTTCTTCCTTTTCTCCAATCTGAGAGTTTGATAATTCAACATATAACACTTTTCCTTCTGTATAGATTTAGTAGTTTAAAACTTACAATTTTTAAAGATTTTGCCTATAGAATCTATCAACACTCACATAATTTAACATAATAATGTAATGTAAGCTTTGAAGATACATTTATTACATCACATGTCATAAGAGAAAAAATGAATTGAGTTTAATGCATCATTCCCCAACCACATTTTGGAAATAAGAGGAGAGCTTCAAGTTTATTTAGTGAGGGGACAGTTCTCAGTGGATGTTTAAGATGTGAGATATTTTCACTGAATAACATATATTGTACATTTTTACTTCATTTCATGTTTTTCTATAACTTTTTTAACTCCATAACTTGTCTTGACTTGATTTACTCAGACACTGCCTTCTTGTTTAACATTTTCCATTCTCTGAAATTGTAGACAATGTTGCTAGGGTATTCACAACACTTCTATAGTATCATAATAAAAGAGCAAATGCACTTTTTAAGAAAGAAGGGAAAAATGTTGTGGGATATTTGTGAAAAGGAGAGAATGCAAGGGAATAATTCGAGAAGTAGAGGTGATGACAGGGGCTGGCCATGAGGGAGGTGAAGATCCCTTCCTTTGGTAAAAAGCCCAGGAGTTTAGTGAGCCCACATCATGAATAGCACTGCATCACCTCATGACACCCAGGTAGGAGGTGACAGGACTTTGAAGAATAATGGCTCTACAATGTATCTAGGGAGTTTGCACATAGGTGATGATGCTTCCAATATTGGCACTTACAGAGCTGAGCTGACTTCTATGAACCCCTCAGGCATGGCCAATGTGCGTAATAGACGCTCTCATGCTGCGTTGAATTGTAACGGTCCTGCCTTTATTTCTTTTAATACCACAAATTTTTATTTAGATTTCTCGACCACTCTAATAGCAAGGAAGAGGAGAGTAAGCTTAAAACATGTGTGATATAATAATTATTATTGAAGAGTGGGAGTTGGGAGTTACTTGATTTTTCTGAAAAATTCAGAGTGTGTTGTGAAATTTACTCTTGGCCCACATAAAAAATGTACAATCTCTGAACTGATCATGCAGTTTCATCCAAAATCACTTCTATAGTATCAGAAGAGATAACTGTACAGTATAAAAATTCTATATTAATCTTCCTTGTTTTAGCATTATATATAATCATTATATTTAGTGATTTGTTTTATTTTTACAGAGAAACATATTTTTGGAACCAAATGGTATTACAAATTATCTATAATAGAGAACACCCTCCATTTTACCCCAAATTACCCCAATACTTAATCCCAGAAATATGCCCTTTTAATACTGGCATTCTGATGAAACATTTTAGTATGAATATTGCTGCTGGATTATAAATGTAAAAGTTCTTGAATTTAAAAATTATAAAATGTTAATTCCAAGGCTGTATAATAAAATAAAGCAACAACCACTTAACTTATGTATCTTTTTAATTTTTACTACATATTTATTACTATTTTTGTTTGGATTAACTACAGCAGAAATATGAACCAAGGGATGGATGATAGAAGTGACAAAAGTATTTTCTTTTTTCTTTTTTTTTTTGAGACAGAGTCTCACTCTGTTGCCTAGGCTGGAGTGCAGTGGCGTGATCTCAGCTCACCACAACCTCCACCTCCTGGGTTCAATTGATTCTCCTGCTTAGCTTTCCCCGAGTAGCTGGGACTAGAGGTGCACACCACCACACCCAGTTAATTTTTGTATTTTTAGTAGAGATGGGGTTTTCCTGTGTTGGCCAGGCAGGTTTTGAACTCCTGACCTTGGGCGATCTGCTTGCTTGCCTTGCCCTCCCAAAGTGCTGGGATTACAGGCATGAGCCACCGCACCCAGTCACAAAAGTTTTTTCTGATGTCAGCTATGGTAAGACCTATACGGGGCTCATTGTTTCTAGGTATTTCACCAAGCATACCATAGGTTTATCTAAAAGATAACTAGATTAGGTCTTGTTCGCTAGTCCTTTTTTTTTTTTTTTTTTTCTGGAGACAGAATCTCACTTTATTTCCCAGGCTGGAGTGCAGTGGCACAATTGCAGCTCACTGCCACCTCTGCCTCCTGGGTTCCAGTGTTTCTCCTGCCTTAGCCTCCCAAGTAGCTGGGATTACAAGCATGCACCACCATTGCCAGCTAATTTTTTTTTTTTTTTTTTTTTTTTGGTATTTTTAGTAGAGACAGGGTTTTGCCATGTTGGCCAAACTGGTCTCAAACCTCAAACTACTGATCTCAGGTGATCTGTCCACCTCGGCCTCCCAGAGGGCTGGGATTACAGACTGAGTCACCGTGCCTGGCCATAGCCTTTCTTTCTGAGTCAGTTTGTCAACAGAACTCTAGTTAGTTTGTTAATATTTGCACTTGTGTTTTCCTCACATCCACATTTGGGGTTCCCTCACATCCACACTTCGGGTTCAGAAAGTGTCGAGGTTATGAAAAACAAGAAAAGTCTGAGGAGCTGTTAGAGGTGGGGCAGATACTAAGAAGTGTCTATAAATGAAAACACTGTTAATTAAATGCAATGTGGGATCCTAGGCAAAGTGCTGGAAAAGATAAAGGACATTAGTGTAAAATTAATGAAATACAAATAAGAGATGAAATTCAGTTAAGACTATGATACCAATGTTAATTTCCTGTTCTTCATAATTATACCATGGTTATGTCAGATATTAACATTAGGAGAAGCAGGGTGAGAGACAGAAGAAGATTTTCTACTATCTTGCAACTTTCTTAAAGGTTTAACAGTAGTTCCAAATAAAACATTAAAAATTAAATGATCCATGTGGCCCAGAGCCATTTACTATATTATTGTAGAAGTCTCAATGGTCTTTACAGTCCTTATCATAAACCATGGGAATATAACAAACCACTAAAATACAGGTTTATTAGGATGAGACTGAGTTATCAAGAAATGCTTTCAGTCAAACTTCCACATTAGTACAAAAGTTAGTATTAAAAACATTTTTTAGGCCGGACACAGTGGCTCATGCCTGTAATCCCAGCACTTTGAGAGGCCGAGGTGGGCGGATGACCTGAGGTTAGGAGTTCGAGAGCAGCATGGCCAACATGGCGAAACCTGGTTTCTACTAAAAATACAAAAATTAGCTGGGCATGGTGGCGGGCGCCCGTAATCTGAGCTACTCAGGAGGCTGAGGCAGGAGAATTGCTTGAACCTGGCGGGGGGAGGGTGCAGTGAGCCAAGATTGCGCCATTGCACTCCAGTCCGGGCTATAAGCGTGAAACTCTGTCTCAAAAACAAAACAAAACAAACAAATAAAAAACATTTTTTAGAGGAGCCTTCAACAACCAAGGAATTCATTAAGGCATCATCCTCAAAGATTCCAGGCAAATGAGGTTGTTTGTGTATGCATGTATTGATAAAAGGTGGTGATGGATTATTGATGAAGTAGAAACATGGGAAGTTAATAAGAAAATATATCAGAGGTAGGTGCGTGTTGCCTGAGACCAGAGCAGAGGACACTCCTCTAGGGTGTAAATCTCACCTGAAAAATGTGAGTGAGGCTGAGAATTTACTCTGGAGAGTATACAAGTGAGAAGTTAATATTGTTTATGATAGAAAATCAAACTAAATTGTAAGAAGAAACTTGCCTCTGTGTTGATGTCTCTAGGCATTTATGGGGTGCTACTGGAGTAGAATTGACTTTAATATGAAATCAATGAAAAGTCACTGAGTCATCAGAATAATTAATTGTCAAAAAAGCCACATCTGAAGAAAATCATGAATATAGCAATATAGACATAGGGATAAGAAATGGGAGGACAGTTGCATCAAATAGGAGTCACCTTAGACTATCGTAGAATGAAACTGTGCCCCTTCATCTAAAGATGAATTTAGAATTAGAAGAAAGTGAGCCTGTGCTATCATTGACAACTGGTTAGTAGTTTACTAGCATGGAAATCCAAGGAGCCTCTCTCTTAGTTATACACTCTGGGATTCTGACTTGATTTCCCCACTGTCTCTTACCACAGTGGTTCAAAATGTATGGTTCTCAGGACTGCTCTGTGATCAGCACCTGGAAACTATGAAATGCAAATCCCTGGGCTTTGCCCCACATCTACTGGATCAGCGTCTTTGACTGGGGGTTGGGGGACAGCAATGTGTGTTTCAACAAGCACTCAGGGGCTTTCTGATGCAGTCAGTGTGAGAACTCCTGTCTCAGAAAGTCACCTCCACTTACACCAATTAACTTTATTCCATAGACACTCTCCCACACTCCACTAGTTAACCCTTCCTTCTGTACATAAGTGCATTGAAATTCTATTCTAAATCTTTATATCAGGACCTTTTCAATCTAATCTGTTCATTTCCCCCCTGTAAATCCTGTCAGAATGACAGAGAGCATTTTGACCCTGTCAGTTGTTACATTAGAAAAGCCGATGGTTGAAAAATAATAAAATTGTCAGAGTTACTGGAGGATGCAAAAAACTAGGGTTACTTTCATCTGTTAAGTAACTGATTGAATTGACAGCACACCAAAGATCTTGCCACATAATCTTGTGCATTGGGTGAAGTGAATTAATTTAGGAAAGAGTTCAGTACATTGCCATATATAAGCATTTCTAGCAGGACCTGACTTGCACCTGTTAAACTATTTCGAATAATAAAAATGCCTGTGCACTCAACCCAGGAAATGCTACTCACTGCCAACTCCACAGTGAGGTAACATGCAATTGACAACTTTCAGAGAAGTAAGCAACTAATTCTTTCCCCAGACTGCTACTTAAAATAACCTTTTTTTTTTTTTTTTTTTTCTGGTAGGAAAATAAAATTCAACCAACAATTTGTCACTCTTCTTATTTGCTTTTGCCAAGCAGCTGTATTTACAGAAAACAATGTCCTGATTTTTTTTTTTATTATTTTTTTTAGGTCTTGATTTCTTATCAAGCAGTTTGGTGGTCTAATGATTTTAGTTTGTGAAACTCATAAAATGCATCGGCCAAAGTAGCTTGAACCTTTTCCCTCTTTCTTCTCTTCCCTGTTCCCATTATTTATAATGAGTCTTCCCAGAAACTTCCCGTGTGTTCCTTACTGACTACACGAACACTGGTAAAGCAGGAGAGATAATCAACTCCAGGCTGGAGCTGAGCAGCAGCGCCAACTACTCATGACTCCAGCAGATGTTTCTGCTTTGGGGACCAAAAGAAATTTTATAGGGTTTTTCCTCCTTCTCAGGGAAAATTGCCAGAACAGTCAAGAAATGGGAAATATATAGGCCTTCTCACATTTCCAAGTAGGGAGGGATATTATATTCAGTAAAAGGAATCTCAGAGAGAGGAATTTTTGAAGACACCATCTCATAATAGCTACGTAAAGTGTTCACTAGGAAAAAGAGGAAGAAGAAGAGCTCACTTGGCTTCAGATTTCTCTGTATATTGAAAACTGTGAATGTTAGAGCAGTTTGAAATGATATCCATTTATGGTAAAAATCCACCTGGTAGTCAATAAGGACCCTCCTCCACCACCACCACCACCACCAAGAAAAGAAAAAGAGAAAAAAAAAGGCACAGATGACATACTCTGAATTTCACTGTTTCTGTCTGTCTTTAACGTAAATTGTGCGACTACGAAGGGAGAGGACATATGCAGGACTTTGAGTCTTTTTTATAGAAAATTAACTGTTTACCACATAGTATAATATTGCTCCCAAAATAAGCAAAAATAACAAAAATTTTCCTTGAGTGGGAGAATATGAGAATTTCAGTTCTCTTGGATTACTTTACTTGATTTTTGGTATTTTGGCTCTCAAGAGACAGCCTATGTGCAGTACCATGAGAATAATATCGGAGATAATTGGTTACATGAAATCCACGTGAAGGGAAATCAGAGAGCAGTCACAGACCTAGTTCGGTGGGTTAAAAGCCTCTCTTTTGAAATTATGTCCAATATGGGGGAGAGAAAAGCCTACTAAGTCACTGGTCTTGTTTATGTAATAAGAGGTAAAGAGGATCAGTATGGAGAAGAGGGCTGCTGAAACTCTTTGCGACCTTTCTGTGTAGGATAGCTGTTTATGAAGAGCAAGAAACGTTAAACAAAGCCATTCCAATAACCCTTAACTGGGTTTTTTAAATGTTATTGTATGTTCAAAGTCATGCATAAACAATTAACACAGGGAATATGATTGACTAGAAATAGTAGTCAAGCCCATCTTTTTAGTCATTCAGATTTTCTTATAATTACTTGTAGTTTATGTTTTGTATGTTTGACAGAACAAAAGTGACTGGAGATTATTCTATTAAGGAGTCATACTATCAAGGAAAGGTATCATCAACTTATTAAAGTCCTGAAAGGATGGTGTCCACTTTAAAATCCATTAGCTATTTTATTGTTAAAAATGGGAGCGTTAATTAAGGTCCGAGAAAATCTTTAGGGGGCTATTTCTGATCTCTGAGAAGAGGAAATCTCTACCTGTTATATGCTCCATAAGTTATGGAGAGTCAAAATTACCTAGTAGAGTCCAAAATACATAGTTTATTTAAACTCCATCTAAGTTAAGACTTGAAGAATGAGGAATACTTGGCTCAAATGGAGAAGGAATAGCCCACTAAGTTGGTGAAAACATGTAGAAAGATTCAAAGTTAAAACACAAGTATAATACATTTAAAAGTAAAATTAATACACATAAATATCATATACATTGTAAGGGAATGGAAGAAGATAGAACTAGAGAGTTATTCAGGGACAAGATTAAAAATGAACTTCCAAATGATGACAAATGGATTAAGGGAAACAAAATCATTTTCAAGGTGGCCAGTTGCAAGCTTGTTCCTGATACATATTACCCTGAAGTGGGAAAGTAATAGGATTAGAGAGAAACTGATTAGAGTATTTAAGAGTTTTAAATGATCAGATATGGTCGTTGATTACATATGGAAATGGTGGAGAAGGGAAGTCAAAGATTATTCCTAGTTCTTGGTTTGAACAATTTGCTGGATAAAAGCTTCATTCACTTAAATATTTTCAGGTATGGGCCGGGCGCGGTGGCTCACGCCTGTAATCCCAGCACTTTGGGAGGCCGAGGCGGGCGGATCACGAGGTCAGGAGATCGAGACCATCCCGGCTAAAACGGTGAAACCCCGTCTCTACTAAAAATACAAAAAAATTAGCCGGGTGTAGTGGCGGGCGCCTGTAGTCCCAGCTACTTGGGAGGCTGAGGCAGGAGAATGGCGTGAACCCGGGAGGCGGAGCTTGCAGTGAGCCGAGATCCCGCCACTGCACTCCAGCCTGGGCGACAGAGCGAGACTCCGTCTCAAAAAAAAAAAAAAAAAAAAAAAAAAAAAAAAAAAAAAAATATATATATATATTTTCAGGTATGAAGGGAACGATGGATTCACTCTTAGAGCTCCACTGTAGGGCAGTTATTTCTAGGCACCCCAAGGGTGTATGTGTGCTCCCAAAGCAGTTCATGCATTTTTTTCTGTTCTAGTAATATCCCTTCAGTGCAATAATCAAAGGCTATCAGAGGAAGGCTCATTGCTAGTACCACACTCATTGGTACACTCCATGACCATGACTCCCTGATAGTCTTCTGGGCACAGCAGTTATTGGCTGCTGTTCCACAATTGTCACTGATGCTGCTACTGGCTATTACTGAAGAAACTGGGGAGGGTATTTCTGCACTGAATTGTTGACAAAGACCAAATCATCATGGGTTATAATGATGGTATTCAACTTCCGGTCATGTGTTTTCTTTTAGAATTTAAAACTAGTTCACGAAGACAGCCTGAGAATAAAGGTCATCTCACTCCCTCCATTGTCTTTGCCATGATCATCTTTTCTCCTGACAACTCTGATCTTCAGCCTTAACACAAAAACACCATACATGTAAATTCATGTGAAAAAACAAATGTCCTAAGTGTTCACCTGCATTCCAGTTCTGCAAAGAGCAAGAACACGAATCTTACTTTGAGCTAAATTGGGACACCCTGCCAAAATATCAATACCCTATGAGATTTTTATCCCATGAAATTAGGGATTGTTGAAGAAGAGGTCCTTGAAGTTAATTGACACACTGCTTCTTAAACTCTAATGTGCATATGAATAATAAGGAGAACTTGTTAAATTGCAGATTCTGAATCAGTGGCTCTGGGCTCTGTGGACAGGCTCCTGATCTGCAGCCTATGCTTTGAAAAGCAAGGTTCCAGTCTAACAATTCTCTAAATTCTCTCAGTGAACAGTTGAAGAAAATGAGTCACAGGCATTTATTTAGTACAAGGCAGTGAATTCAGTGCTGCCTACATATTAAACTGAAGATATAATCAGGGTTAGAGGAATAAATTTCCCTGACTCTCACTGTCCTTTCTAGCACAATCAGCAGCATTTTGCATGAGTAGATCTCCTAACATCAGTAATGTTACTCCTCATTTTGGAATCTAGAGAAATATCTTCTGCTAATCACCAAAGGAAAAATCTCTCAAAAGAACATGATGAGATCCAGGAGAAAAGAAAGCCATGTATGTTAATTTTTGAGGGGTTTTTTTGGCTAATAAAAATTAATTAGCTAATAATTTTCTAATCGTCCATGACACTGTATGTGTTGTGATTTGTTAATGCTTTAGAAATGTACATGAAACAACTTTCCATAGGCAAAGTAAGTGCTTCATAGAATGGTTTCATACTTTCATAGCGATTACTATAAAATGAAATACTGATATTTTTCTTTAAAAATATTTTAATGCAAGTTTTTAGTGTGAAATTTATTTTAATAGAAAGATGGAATTTTCCTGGAAGAAAACCACTCTGATAGGGCAGGAAAATCTCTTCACTCACCTGATGTCCTCAAAATGTGCTTCTAAAGAAGAATGGTAATTAACCCTAAACCTGAGAGAACATAAAATACTGGGGTGCTGAAAACTAGTATAGTTAAGCAACACTGAAATGGGAATTTCTAACAATAGATTGGACATTGCTCCCTCCAACTGAAACATCTGGTCACCAATTCATACCTGGATTTCTTTATGCTTCATCCCTTTCCTGACCCCTCCCTTCTTAATGCTGCTGCTCAAGTTTAAACGGGTACTGTCAGGAGAGCAGATGGACTCCACTGCAGGCTGCGGAAGAGCCAGCAAGACATAATGCAAAATGCTCCCTGCTGACCCTGAGGTGACTGTAAACTTGATCAAACGGGATCTTTCTCTCCAGGGAAAAGAGATAATGCAATCTTATTGCTGGATCAAAACTTCTTACAAAGGCAGCCAGTTCAACTGTGGTATGTATAGAGAGTCCTCTGGAGGATGTGCTGAAGACATCAAACCCATACACCCTGGAATGTCTCCTGGGATTCAAGCACTGGCCAGAGAACAGAAATGAAGTAGCTGTTTCCAGCGATTTACAGTTCTCCTAAATATGAGAAGGAAAATGTGTAGAGACATTTTAGCCCAGCAGGGTCCTCAACTGAGCATTAGAGAGGTTTCCATTGCTTCTGACTGTACCTTGTGATTTTGCATCTAAATGAATGTTCTACCATCTGAAACCTTTCAGGTTACTAAATTAATTCAGAGAAGACAAATCCCTCTTGTGTGAAACAGCAACATGTAATATTTATTGAAAATATTAAACTGTCTTCTCAAATTAATATCTGATTCAAAAAAAGCCAAATGTAGAGCCAGCAAGTCAGGTTGTATACACATATATTATATTCCTAAATCTCTCAAAGAGAAGGGATTAAACAGCCCTTCACTTCTATTTGAAAAGTTTGAGAGGGCTATAAAAATGGAAATGTATTAAATGTGTCCATGAAAATTTATATGTACATATAGCCCTAGGTTAAATCAAATGCTGGGCCTAAAGTAGAGTATAAAGTACTCATCACTTACTTTCTCTTTTGTGAGAGAATATGTTTTGGTAGAGGAATTCATTCAACATCTGATAAATATACTCCTTTGGCTGAGACATATAGCACAACAGGAAGGGAATTGATAGAGGCTATGAAAAAGCGAGATGTAATGTTAGTTTATGGGAATTGATCTGAAGTGATTTTTTTTAACCATGTAGATCTCTGTAAATAATTGAAATAATAACCTGCTGCAGAACAATGGAGACATTTAAAAAATTGTCTGGGTAAAAAGCAATGGATTCATAGACACATATAACACAATTGGGAAACAATTTAGAGGTTTACTATAATAGTTTTTATAACTAATAAGAGAGTCTAGAAATTGGTAAAGATTTCAATGTAGAATTACTCACATGTTTTAAACCAGTGAAGACATTTCGAGATTGCTTAGATTACATTTCCATTTGGCAATGGTTTGATGGACAAAATGAACTGTTAGTTCTATTGTCTTTTCTCAGATCAGTCAGTGCCTACCACAAATATTGCAGAATCTGTGCTATTCATTAGCCATTTGATTTCAATGATGTTTTTAGTTGATTTGTAAAATGATGCAACTGCATATCCTAAACAAAAGTCAAGAACTGACACATTGTGGTTCTAAGTAAATTCTCAGACATATTTCATTTAAAAGTACAGTATTATTGCTGATTTTTAAAGAAAGTATAATTTAATTACCTTTAAGATTAATACTGATTGTGTAGTTAATAGAAGGCCCCTATCATTCCTTATTTTCTTACTCATATCTGCTTCACACATTTAAATTACTTGCCTACCCCTTGAGGGCATTTTAATTTGCAATATGGCTTTATTATCTGACTTCAAATGCTGTAAGCCTTCCCTTGATATTGCACAGTCTTTGAAAGTGACACAACACTTCCTTGATTTTTCCCTAGCACTAATTATCACAGTTTCTTAAGTAAATGGATATTTCTTTCATTTATTCATCTAATTCACAAATGTTCACTATGTACCCATTCTGTTTTAGACAATATATTTGCCAATGGGAATAATAATGAAGACAGACCCAGTCCCCACTCTCATGAATCTTATCAATGAAGTGTGGAAAGATTTTTTTTTATTGATTGATGAAATATGGCTATCTGAAATCCTTTATCATCATACTTTAGAATAATACAAGGACTACTATTCACTTACTAGAAGAGATGATACAAAATTGTAAGTATTATCGAATGAATTATCATCCCCAAATTCATATGTTGAAGTCGTAACCCTCATTACACCGGGACATGACTGTATTTGAAGATAGGGCCTTTAAAGAGGTCATTAATTTTAAAGGAGGTCATTAGAGTGGGCCCTAACCAATATGATGGTTATCCTTATAAGAAGAGGAAATTTAGACACAGACAGAATGGAAGGACCAAGTGAAGACAACAGAAAAAGATTGTCAGCTGCAAGTTAAGCAGAGAGGCCCTCAGAAGAAACCAACATTGCTGACACTTTGGTCTTGGACTTCTAGTCTTCAGAACTGTGAGGAAATAAGTTTCTGTTGTTTAAGCCTCTCAATATATAGGACTTGGTTGGTACAAGCAAACTAATACAGTCAGGTTTTCTTTGTTTAATTGAAAACAACTTAACTTTAATAGTTGAGTCCAAATTCTGATAGAAAAGAAAAGAAGTACAGCATTGGCAATTACTTAGACAGTGGCTTTCAGCCTCATAGGTAAGTGGACTGTTGGCATAATTTAGAGTCCTCTTTTTATTATTTTGTCTTAATTGATATGGTACCAAGGATTCCAGTTATGAAATGATCCAGACAAGAAGCCTTACATAGACACAAATAAATCCTCAAATGTGAAGATGTAGAGTAACGGGGACATTTGAAGCAACATTTCATTTCCAAGATCTTATCCTAGAAGATAATCAAACACTTCTTATACAAAGATTTAGCCTGAAGAATTAATTACCTAAAGCAGTAAAATAAATAAAATAAACCACATGCATTCTGCCATTAATATTACAGAAGTGTATTTATTTGTATTGAAAGCTATTTTAAATGGAAATTTCAGTGAAAAAGATGGTTTAAGATATGTTTCTGATTTTGTGGGAAAAAATAAAATTATACAAATATGCATAAAGTAGCTAGAAATATATGCACCAAAATATGTAATGATGATTATCTTTCAGTGATTATGTTATAACATTGTTTTCTTAATCTTTCACATGTATTTTGTAATAATTTTTGAATAAATGCATTACTTTGAAATAAAAAGTAGCTCCCAAATTTTGTTTTTTAAATAACTAAAGTCTTAAGTATCATGAGTCAATGTTGTGATTGCATGTCCTGAGTAAGGCAACCACTGGAAATTTTTTTTAAAAAGGAAGGCAGTTTAGTTCTCAAAATACTATGGATGATATGGCTTTAAACATTTTAAGTAATAACATAAATTCTGAATAAAAGTTATTCATTCTTGGTTAGTGCATTCTTGAATGTTTTTGAAAAGTCCAAGATGAACCCACCAATGATGATCAGTCTTAAACATTGTTTAATGATATAGTTAGCATGTATTTTTTATCTTGAGTGGAGAAGTACACACAGATAATACTATTTCCAGGTGGGGATATTATTGTGCTAATTTTTGAGTTCAAAATCTTGACTCACATCTTGATGACAGAAATCATACTGCAGCAGGATGTTATATACATTCATTAAATGTGTATTTACTTAACACCTTCCATATGCTAGAAAATGAATTTAAAGATGGATGAATCGTGACCTCTGCCCAATGCAATGCATACTTCTGAGGTAAAGAGCTAAGGATGTATCTGAAATTGGATGTGACTGTCCTAGCTTGCATAATGGCCACATCCTCTGTAACCAAGTTATATGTTCCTCTCCATTTCATTTAGGGGTATTCATGATAAATATGCCCATATATGTCTGTCATTTCTTTCCTTATACTATTCATTTAATCATTCCACAAAAGCATCCTTGATCCTCAGTTAAATTCAGCAATATTTATTGAGCTCAATATTAAGTGAGCAAAATTCTCCACTACTTCTGTAGATTGAAGAATGATGAGAAACCCTAATGCAAATATCTGTATAACCAAAGTAAATTGTAGAATGTGCAAATGGCATAAATGACTAATTAAGATAATTAATAGTAAGAAAAATTGAATCAAGTTTAAAAGTATGTGGAAAGACATTTGAGCTTTTGAAGAATGGATAATAAGTTGGCAGCAGAAGTAAGGAAATGATATAAGAGTAGGTGGATTAGCATGGAAAAACAAGGGCAGGAAATTTGGGATGTGTTCTAGGTAAAATGAGTAGCCTATTTTGGTGGAAGTACAGAATGAAAAAAAGAAGCCTTGGGAAAGAAGAATGGAAATGTAAGTAGGGGATGCATGGCTGATCATGATGAATTCCCCAAGAGTGTTCTTGGTATAGAATGTTTAAATAATGAAAATCCAATAAAGGAAGTTGAGGTATAAAGTGAATATTTAGACTCATGCTTTAGGAAGACTAATGTGGTATCATTTAAAGATGGATGAATTTGTGACAGAGACGCTGGAAGAGAACAATATTTAAACTCAATTTGACACACAACTGAAAACAAATTTGCACAAATTTTTAATATATAGAATCATATGTAATTTTCATATTTGTAACCATGCTAAGGTAATTGATACTAATGCAATCTGAGATTTCTTTTGTCAAGAAAATACCATTTAAATCTACTATTTTTTATAGTATGAGTTTTTATGTAATAAATTTAAGGCAAATTAAATGTACAGTGAAGTAATATCAATTCCACAACTATTTATCATCTAATGTTTTGCAGCATTTTAAGAGATACAAAAAGATGAAGACACAAATCCCTGTTGTTTAGTTCAGCTTTGTCTGTTTTAGGTTTTAAACTTCTAGAGTACATGTAATTACTCTGTGGAACCGGAATTTAAAAATAAATATGTATCCTAATATTTAGGTTGATCAAATTTAAGTTCAATATAATCTGGAGACTAATGGTATCAGATGATGCAAAATCTAAAAATCATGTTTTATCTCATTGACTGCCTGTTCAAACTATAAGAGACATATATGACAAAGTCACAGCCAACATCACACTAAACAGGCAAAATCTAGAAGCATTCCCCTTGAGAGCTGGAACAAGACAAGGATGCTCATTCTCACCACTCTTATTCAACATACTACTGGAAGTCCTAGCCAGAACTATCAGGTATCCAAAATAGGAAAGGAGGAAGCCAAACTATCTCTCTTCATAGACCATATGATTCCATACATAGAAAGCCCTATAGACTTCAACATAAGGCTCCTACAACTGATAAAAAAAAAAAAAAAAAAAACTTCCGTAACGTTTTAAGATACAAAATAAATGCACAAAAAATACCTGGCATTTATATAACAACATTCAAGCTGAGCACCAAATCAAGAATGCAAACCCATTTACAAAAACCACAAAAAGAATACAATATGTAGAAATACAGCTTATCAAGGAGGTGGAAGATCTTTTAAGAATTACAAAACGTTGCTGAAAGAAATCTGAAACAAAACAAACAACTGAAAAACATTCCAAGCTCATAAATAGGAAGAATCACCATTGTTAAAATGGCCAGACTGCCCAAAGCAATCTGTAAAATCAACCATGTTCCTATCAAACTACCAACCTCATTTTTCACGGAATTAGAAAAAAACTAGTCTAAATTTATATGGAATCAAAAAACCGCTCGGATAGCCAAAGCAATTCTAAGCCAAAGGCATCATGCTACCAAACTTCAAGCTATACTACAGTAACCACAACAGTATGGTGGTACTGTTGTACTAAACAGACACATAAGCCAATGGAACAGGATAGAGAACCTAAAAATAAAGTCACACACTTAAAACCACCTGATTTTTGATGAAGTTGACAATAACAAACAATGGGCAAATGACTCCATTTTCAATAAATGATGCTGGAGTAACTGGTCAGCCATATGCAGAAGAATGAAACTGGAACCCTACCTTTCACTATGTACAAAAATTAAGTCAAGATGGATTAAATACTTAAATGCAAGACCTCAAACAATTAAACCCCAAATGAAATTTTAGGAAATACCATTCTGTACTTGGCCTTGGGAAAGAATTTATGACTAAGTGACCAAAAGCAATTACGACAAGAAAAAATCAACAAAGGGGGACATATTTAAGCTGAAGAGATTCTTCACAGCAAAATAAACAATCAACAGAGTAAACAGACAACCTGCAGAATAGGAGAAAATACTCACAAACCATGAATCCAGCAAAGGTCTAATATCCAGCATGCATCCAGCAAAGGTCTAATATCCAGAATCAATAAGAAACTTAATTCAACAAACAAAAACAAACAATGCCATTAAAAAATGGACAAAGGACATGTACAGACACTTCTCAAAAGAAGACATATAAATGGCTGGCAACTATATGAAAAAATGTTCAATATCACTAATCATCAGACAAATACAAATCAAAATATGATTTGTATTTTGATTGAATGAAATACCATCTAACACCAGTCAGAATGACTACTAAAAAGTGAAAAAAAAGACTCTGGTGAGGCTGCAGAGAAAAGTGTATGCTCAGACACTGATGGTGTGAATGTAAATTAGTTCAGCTGCTGTGGAAAGCAGTTTGGAGATTTCTCAAAGAACTTAAAACAGAAGTACGATTCAATCCTCAATCTCACTACTGGGTATATACTCAAAGGAAAATAAATCATTCTAGCAAAAAGACATGCACTCATATGTTCATTGCAACATTATTCACAATAGTGAAGACATGGAATCAACCAAGATGCCCATCAGTGCTGGACTGGATAAAGAAAATGTGTACAGTACACCTTGGATTGAAATTGGCATGACCATCTTGGTAATGGTAATGAAGTCACATGTAATGAAGTATATTTGAAGATAGAACTGTTGTTTGTTGTTATCTACAGCTACCATTAAAGCTATTAAAATTCTTTTTAGATAGAGATGCAATGAACTTTTACATTGGACCTTTGCATCCTCATTTAATGCTCATTGGGCACAGTTGAGTGATATATACAACTTCTCATAAAATAACACATGAGAGAATATATATTTGACACAATTCCATAAAGACCAAAATATGTCCCCTATAATAAATATGCATTGGAAGAAAAGTTATCATATTTTTTTAAAAATTAGGTACTGTATATAATATTGTGCAGAGAGCAAAACATTAAAAAAAAGAAAATGTGGTACATATACACCATGAAATGCTCTGCAGCCATAAAAAAGAACAAAATCATGTCCTTTGCAGCAACATGAATGGAGATGAAGGTCATTATCCTAAGCAAACTAACACAGAAACAGGAAACCAAATACTTCATGTTTTCACTTATAAGTGGGAGATAAACATTAAATATTCATGGACACAAATATGGAAACAAGAGACATTGAGGACTGTTTGAAGCTCAAGAGTGGGAGGGAAGTGTGGGTTGGAAGGCTACCTATTGAATATTATGCTCAGTACTTGGGATCATTCATACACCAAACCTCAATGTCACACAATTTACCTATATAACAAACCTGCACATGTAGCCCCAGAACAAAAATGAAAGCAAAGAAGAAGAAAGAAGGAAGAAGAAGAAGAAGAAGAAGAAGAAGAAGAAGAAGGAGAAGGAGAAGGAGAAGGAGAAGGAGAAGGAGAAGGAGAAGGAGAAGAAGAAGAAGAAGAGGAAGAAAGAGGAGGAGGAGGAGGGAAAGAAGAAATGAAAGAAGAAGAGAAGAATCAGCAGCAGAAGAAGAAGCAGCAGCAGCAGCAAGAAGAAGAAGAAAGAAGAAGAAGACAGAGGAGGAGGAGAGGAAGGAAGGAAGGGAGGGAGGGAGGGAGGGAGGAAGGAAGGAAGGAAGGAAGGAAAGAAGGGACGGAAGGAAGGGACTATGGAAAAATTCCAGTAAAGTATAAAGTGGTAAAGTAATGCCTCTTTCACTCTTTTTCAGTAGGAAAGCCATGAACTAGGCACAACTCAGAAGGAGAATGATGCAAACTTTAGCTTTCTCTTTAGCAGATGATTGTGTGCAAGGATCCCTTAATGTTGTCCTAAGTGTGCTGATTCTACATTTGTTGGTTCTGTAAATTATGCACACAGAGCATGATGAATTTTATAGAAAAATTATTTCATTTTATTAGTCGAATTTAATTCATATGATTAATCTAATATATGAAGCCTGAATACTATAGAAAAAGAATTGGTAATTACAAATACAAAGAATTAATTTTTGTATTTTTAATAGAAACGGGGTTTCACCATGTTGACCAGTATGGTCTCGATCTCTTGACCTTGTGATCCACCTGCCTCGCCCTCCCAAAGTGCTGGGATTACAGACGTGAGCCATCACACCTGGCCCATAATTGATTTTTAATGAAATTTGAGATTATTTTTATATACTCAGGTTTCAATTGTGGATAATCAAATAGATTTTTTAATATTGTTGATTAATATATTTACTTATATGCTCATAAGGGCCTTTAGATAAATATTAACCTGAGTATAGTACCTTCAATTTAACATGTATTTATGAGATCACTTCTAAGTGCATAATAGTAATAAAAAAGTAGAGGTAATAATAACAGAGTGAAAAGCAAATTAGAGATTCTAGGAGACTTAAAATGCTGCTTCTGCCCTTAATCCTCAAGTATTTTGTGATTCCTGTTGCATACTCATTACGTTACATTAGGCATTGTAAGTTGTGTTCTCCTCCTAAAAAGTTTAAATCTAGTCTAAAGAAAATGAGTGTTTTTAAGTGAACTCAGAACTACCCTAGGCCTCTGTTGTTTTATAAACACTGCTTTGATAGGCTCAGATAATCCTAACAAGCTTTGGCAGTGTCCATGTAAATTCAAATATCCTGCCCTGTGAGCCTCCAAATTAATCATACTATTTTCACATTAGCATCCTATATGTCAGGATTGAACCCTGAATTCACAAGCTCACTCAGATCCATAGCCTCAACCAAATTCACTGAGATGCATAGCCTCCACCCAATTCTCACAGCATTCTTACAATCTGTGTGTCTTGGTTGCACCCTGATTGGCATTTACTTCCTCCACGAGGAAGGGAGTGCTGAATTAATTGATGACCTACTTTGTTAGGCTCCTGATACCTAGATAACGTTTGCAAATTCCTTCTAAATCAGCATTACCAGTGGGCGAAAGCCAATGGCAGACAGATGCGCAGTGCTGTGTTTTAGGCTGTCCAGCAAATGTTGTGCTGGCCTGTGTAGACCCCAGACACTGACTGGAACCTCCACACTGCTCGAGTTATCTGGAGCCACCATTGGTTACTCTCTGCCTCTGGACTTTGACCAGTGTCTGCAGTCAAGCTCAGAAGCCTCAATCAGAAGCCCACCTTGAAAAACAGTATGTGTCTGATTCAGGGCCAAGTTTAGGTTGGCCCCTTGAAACAGAGTGCTAGCCGTCTTCTTTCTTCAAAATGACTCAGATGGGCAACCCTTAATAACAGAATCTGAGTACATTAATAACAGTTTCAGAAGCACAACAGTATCAAGGTAGGGGTTGCTAATGGATTTTCAAGAAGATTGCCAGAAAATGATATTTGAGCAGAGACCTGAAGGAAGTCAGTAATTAACTATGTGGATATCATGGGGAAAAGTATTCCAGGGAAAGAACAGCAAGTACAAAGGTCTTGAGGTGGAATGATACTTAGAAATTTGAGGAACAGGAATGCTACTATGATTGGTCCTAAGTGAGTCAGAAGGAGGGACCCAGTGGGAGGTAATTGAATCATGGGGGCAGGACTTTCTCGTGCTTTTCTAGCAATAGTGAATAAGTCTCATGAGATCTAATGGTTGTAAAAAGGGGAGTTCTCCTGCATAAACTCTCTCTTTGTAGGAGCTAAGATTGCAAGATCAGGGAGAGAGCAGGGCCAAACTATATCCGGCTTTGTAGGCCTTGGTGAGGACTTCTATTCTCATTCTGAATGAGAAAGGAAGTCAACAGAAACTTTTTAACCAAGTGGCAATATGATCTGATTTGCATTTTACGAGGATCTCATTGACCACCACATAAAAAAAAGGCTCTAGAAAACCAAGGACAAAAGCAGGAAGAACCTTCACAAGACCAGTGCAACAATCCAGGTAAGAGATTATGATGGCAGGAAAAGGAGTAATGCTGTGCTTGGATAAAGTAATTGGACTGTGGTTATATTTTGACAATAAAACAGAAATTGTGACTAGTTTAGAGATACATCAGGGACATCTCCAAGATGTTGAGAGTGAATAACTGGAAGAATGGAGTTTTCATTAACTATGATAAGAAAGAATGAAATGAGCAATTTTGAGAGAAAAAAACTAAAAGTTTTATTTTATTTTTATTTCTTTTTATTAAAAATAATTATGATGTTTATTTTAGATTCAGGGGGTACATGTGCATGCTTGTTACATGGGTCTATTGTGTGGCAATGTTTGGCATATGAATGATGCCTTCACCCAAGTAGTGAGCATAGTAGCCAATAGTTTTTCAGCCCTGGCCCCACTCTCTTAACTGCCCTGCTTTAGTAGTCCCCAGAGTCTATTGTTGGCATCTTTATGTCCAGGAGAACTTAGTGTTTAGCTCCCACTTATGAGTGAGAAAATGTGGTGTTTGGTTTTCTGTTCCTGCATTATTTGCTTAAGATAATCACCTCCAGCTCCATCCATGTTGCTGAAAAGGACATGGTTTTGTTATTTTTTAATGGCTCTGTAGTATTCTATGGTGTATGTGTACCACATTTTCTTCATCCAATGCATCACTGATGGGCACCTAGGTTGATTTCATATCTTTGCTATTGTGAATAGTGCTGCAATGAACACATAAGTGCAGGCATCTTTTTGGTAGAACATTTATTTTCTTTTGAATATATGCCAGTAATGGAATTGATTGCTGGGCCGAATGGCAGCTCTGTTTTAACTTCTTTGAGAAATCTCCTAACTGCTTTCCACAGTGGCTGAACTAGTTTACATTTCCACCAATAGTATATAAGCATTCTCTTTTCTCTGCAGCCTCACCGGTACCTGTTTATTTTTTTATTTTTATTTTTTTCATTTTTTGATAACAGTCATTCTGAGTGGTGTGAAATGGTATCTCATTGTGGTTTTGATTTGCATTTCTCTGATGATTAGTGATGTGGATAATTTTTTCATATGTTAATTGGCTGCTTGTATGTCTTTTTTTTTTGAGAAGTCTCTGTTTGTGTCTTTTGACCACTTTTTATTGGGGTTATTTGTTTTTCCTTATTGAATTATTTAAGTTCCTTATAGATTCTGGATATTAGATATCTCTCAGATACATAATGATACGGTTTGGCTGTGTACCACACAAATTTCATGTTGAATTGTAACTCCCACAATTCTCACATGCCATGGGAGGGGCCCAGTGGGAGGTAATTGAATCATGGGGATGGGTCTTTCTTAGGCTGTTCTAGCAATAGCTAGTATGTCTCAGGGGATCTGATGGTTTTAAGAAAGGGAGTTCCCCTGCATAAACTCTCTCTTTGTTTGCTGCCATCCATGTAAGACTTGACTTGCTCCTCCTTGCCTTATGCCATGATTGTGAGGCTTCCACAGCCAAGTGAAACTGTAGGTCTGTTAAATTTATTTTTCTTCCCAGTCTCAGGTATGTCTTTATCAGCAGCATAAAAAGGAAGTAATATAGTAAATTGGTACCAGCAGAGTGGAGCGTGGCTGAAAAGGTACCTGAAAATGTGGAAGCTACTTGGAACTGGGTAACATACAGAGGTTGGAACAGTTTGGAGGGCTCAGAAGAAGACAGGAAAGTGTGGGAAAGTCAGGAACTTCCTAGAGACTTGTTGAATGGCTTTGCCTAAAATGCTGATAGTGATATGAACAATAAAATTCAGGCTGAGGTGTTCTCAAATGGAATGAGGAACTTGTTGGGAACTGGAGCAAAGGTGACTCTTGCTATGTTTTAGCAAAGAGACTGGCAGCATTTTGCCCCTGCCCTAGAGATTTGTGGAATTTTGAACTTGAGAGAAATGATTTAGGGTATCTGTCAGAAGAAATTTCTAAGCAGCAAAGCACTCAAGAGGTGACTTGGGCATTGTTAAGAGCATTCAGTTTCATAAGGGAAACAGAGCATAAAAGTTCAGAACATTTGCAGCCTGACAATGTTATAGAAAAGAAAATCTCCTTTTTTGAGGAGAAATTCAAGCCAGCTACAGAGAAATTTGCATAAGTAATGAGGAACCAAATGTTAATCACAATGATAATGGGGAAAATGTCTCCAAGGTATGTCAGAGAACTTTGTGGCAGCCCCTCTCATCACATGTCTGTAGGCCTAAGAGGAAAAAATGGTTTCATGGTCCAGGCCCAGGGTCCCTCTGCTGTGTGCAGCCTAAGGACTTGGTGACCTGTGTTCCAGCTGATCCAGCCATGACTAGAAGGGGCCAAGGTACAGCTTGGGCCATGGCTTTGGAAGATGCAAGCCCCAAGTCTTGGCAGCTTCCACTTTGTGTTGAGCCTGTGAGTGTGCAGAAGTCAAGGATTGAGGTTTAGGAACCTCTGTCTGGATTTCAGAAGGTGTATGGAAATGCCTGGATGTCCAGGAAGAAGTTTGCTGTAGGGGGCCCTCATGGAGAACCTCTGCTAGGGCAGTGCAAAGGAGAAATGTGGGGTGAGAACCCCCACAGCCGAGTCCACACTGGGGCACTGCCTAGCGTAGCTGTGAGAAAAGAGCCACTGTCTTCCAGACTTCAAAATGGTAGATCCACTGACAGCTTGCACTGTGTACCCAGAAAAGCTATAGACACTCAACGCCAGCCCATGAAAGCAGCCAGGAGGGAGGCTGTATTCTCCCTCCCTGCAAAGCCATAGGGACAGAGCTGCCCAAAACCATGGGAACCCACTTCTTGCATCAGTGTGAACTGGATGTGAGACATGAAGTAAAAGGAGATCATTTTGGAGCTTTGAGATTTGACTGCCCCACTCAATTTTGGACTTGCACAGGCCCTGTACCCCTTGGTTTTGGCCAATTTCTCCCATTTGGAATGGTTGTATTTACCCAATACCTGTACTCTCATTGTATCTAGGAAGTAACTAGCTTGTTTTTGGTTTTACAGGCTCATAGGCAGAAGGGACTTCTCTCAGATAAGACTTTGGGCTTTAGACTTTAGAATTAATGCTGAAATGAGTTAAGACTTTGGGGGACTGTTGGGAAGGCATGATTGGTTTTGAAATGTGAGGACATGACATTTGGTAGGGGCCAGGGGTAGAATGATATGGTTTTAGTGTGTCCCTACCAAAATTTTATCTGGAATTGTAACTCCCGCAATTCTCCCATGTCATGGGAGGGACCCAGTGGGAGGTAACTGAATCATGGGTCGTGTCTTTCTTGTGCTGCTCTCACAGTAGTGAATAAGTCTCACAAGATCTGATGGTTTTAAAAACAGGAGTTCCCTTGCACAAACTCTCTCTTTGCCTGCTGCCATCCATGTAAGACTTGACTTGCTCCTCCTTGCCATCTGCCATGATTGTGAGGCCTCCCCAGCCATGTGGAACTGTAAGCCTATTAAACTTATTTTCCTTCCCAGGCTTGGGCATGTCTTTATCAGCAGCATGAAAATGAACTAATATATGTAGTTGCAGTTATTTTGTCCCATTCTGTAGGTTGTCTGTTTACTCTGTTGATAGTTTCTTTTGTTGTGAATAGGCTCTTTAGTTTAGTTAGGTCACACTTGCAGACTTTTGGTTTTTTTTGCAGTTGCTTTTGAGGAGTTAGTCATAAAATCTTTGCCAATGCTGATGTTCAGAATGATATTTTTTAGGTTTTCTTCTAGGATTCTCATAGTTTGAGATGCCCCATTTAAATATTTAATCCATTTTCAGTTAGTTTTTGAATACGGTGTTAGAAAAGGTCCAGCTTCACACTTCTGAATATGAATAGCCAGCTATCACTACAACTTTTATTGAAAAGGGAGTTCTTTCCCTGTTGCTTATTTTTGTCAACTTTGTGTTAAATCAGATGGCTGTAGGTGTTTAGCTTTACCTCTGTGTTCTTCATTATGTTCCATTGGTCTATGTGTCTGTTTTTTTTACTGGTACCATGTTGCTTGTGTTACTCTAGCTTTATTGTATGGTTTCAAGTTGTGTAATGTGATACTTCCATCACTGTGCTTTTTATTTAGGATTGTTTTGGCCAGTTGGGCTCTTTTTTTATTCCATATGAATTTTAGAATGGTTTCTTTCTAATTCTGTGAAAAATGAGGTTGGTAGTTTGTTAGGAATAGCACTAAATCTATAGATTGCTTCAGGCAGTATGGCCATTTTAACAATATTGATTCCTCCAATCCATAAGCATAGAATGTTTTTTCGTTTGTTTGTATCCTGTGGTTTCCTTTAACAGTCTTTTGTAGTTTTCCTTTCAGAGATCTTTCACCTCCTTGGTTAGATGTATTCTCTGGTATTTTTTTTCTTTTTGCAGCTACTGTAAATGAGTTTGCATTCTTGATTTGGCAGTCAGCTTGTCTGACAATAGAGCAGAATAGAGACTGCAATCTACAACCATCTGATCTTCTACAAACCTGACAAAAACAAGCAATTGGGAAAGGATTCCCTATTTAATAAATACTCCTGGGAAAATTGGCAAGCCATTTGCAGAAAATTGAAACCGGATCCCTTCCTTACACCTTATATAAAGATTAACTCAGGATGGATTAATGACTTAAACATAAAATCCAAAGCTATAAAAACCCTAGAAGAAAATCTAGGCAATAAAATTTAGTACATAGGCACAAGTAAAGATTTCATGATGAAAATGTAAAAAGCAATTGCAACAAAAGCAAAAAGTGACAAATGCAATCTGATTAAACTAAAGAGCTTCTGCACAGCAAAGGAAATGATCATGGGAGTGATCATACAATGTACAGAAGAGGAAAAAAATTTTGCAATCTATCTATCCACCTGACAAAGTCTAATTTCCAGGATCTACAAGGAACTTCAAGAAATTTACAAGAAAGAAGCAAATAACCTCATTAAAAAGTGGTCAAAGGACATGAACAGACACTTCTCAAAAGAAAACATTTATGTGGCCAACAAACATAAGAAAAAAGCTCAACATCACAGATCATTACAGAAATGCACATTAAAACCACAATGAGATATCATCTCTTGCCAGTCAGAATGGTGATTATTAAAAAGTCAGGAAACAGCAGATGCTGGTGAGGATGTGGAGAAATAGGAACACTTTTACACTGATGGTGGGAGTGTAAATTAGTTCAACTATTATGGAAGACAGTATGGTGATTCCTCAAAGACCTAGAACCAGAAATAGCATTTGGCCCAGCAATCCCATTACTGGGTATATACCCAAAGGAATATAAATTATTCTTATATAAAGATACCTGCATGTGTATGTTCATTGCAGCACTATTCACAATAGCAAAGACATGGAATCAACCCAAATGCCCATCAACGATAGACTAGATAAAGAAAATGTGGTACATATACACTATAGAACACTATGAAACCATCAATGGGACCAAGATCATGTCCTTTGCAGGGACATGGATGGAGTTGGAAGCCATTATTCTCAGTAAACTAATGCAGGAACAGAAAACCAAATACTGCAAGTTCTCACTTTTTGGGAGCTGAACAATGTGAACACACAAACACAGGGATGGGAACAACACACACTGAGGCCTGTGGTGGACAGAGGGCATCAGGAAAAATAGCTAATGAATGCTGGGCTTAATAACTTAGTGATGGGTTGTTAGGTGCAGCAAATCACCACGGCACATGTTTACCTATGTAACAAATGTGCATATTCTGTACATGTACCCCAGAACATAAAATAAAAAAAATATGGGCCGGGTGTGGTGGCTCATGCCTGTAATCCTAGCACTTTGAGAGGACGGGGTGGGTGGATCATGAGGTAAGGAGTTCGAGACCAGCCTGGCCAACATAGTGAAACCCCATCAGTACTAAAAATACAAAAATTAGCTGAGCATGGTGGCATGTGCCTGTAGTCCCAGCTACTCGGGAGGCTGAGACAGGAGAATTGCTTGAACCTGGGACACAGAGGTTGTGGTAAGCCGAGATCATGTCACTGCACTCCAGCCTGGGAAACAGAGCAAGACTCCATCTGAAAAAAAAAAAAAAATTACATATTTACTCAAATACTCAAATTATTTGAAAAACTTTTCTTGCTTACACAGCCAGGAATTGGCCCTCTTAGACATGATTCCAGTACCTGATGCTAAGCTCTTTAACCACACAATAGTCTCAGACCATTCTGTTGCATTTTTTTTTAATGTGTGCACTTTAGAAAAATCTGATTTGTTTTAAATGCTATAGGACTTCAAATCCTATAACTAGGTGAGCTAAGTGATTGGTGTGACCACAAAGAGATAGTATGAGAGATATCTTCATGGTGATGGCATCGTTCTGTAACTTCATTGCATTGGTAATTATAGGATTCTACACATGAAATGAAATGACAGAATTTAACACATTTTTTAATAATGTCAACATCCTGATTTTTATTAGGCTATAATTAGATGTGATAAAACCACTGGGGGAAATTGAGTGAAAGATACACTAGACTTCTCTATACCATTTTTGAAACTTCCTATGAATCTATTATTGTTTCCAAACAAAAGACTTTTTAAAAAAATTATCCTCTTCATCTTAGAGTCCCTGAAATTGAGGTCACAGTTAACTTCCAAGTCTCATGCCAGGCACAACTCATTCTGACTTTTACCTTGCAGACATTCCCAGGAGACTTTTAATGTCTACCTAGGATGTGGATCAATCTGGAAGCTTCATGCATTCTGATTTTAACTGCTTAGAGAATATTAGTCCTACAACTGGCTCTCCATGTATTCAACAAGATTCACACTGTTATGGGCTCAATTGTTTCCCCCAAGTAGATATGTCATAACTGCAGTACTTCTGAGTGTGATCTTATTAGCAAATAGGGTCTTTGTAGATGAAATCAAATTAAGATGAGATGATATTCAATTAAAGTGAGCTCTAATTTAATGTGATTGGTGTCCTTGTTAGAAGAAGAGAAGAGACACCAAGAACACAGAGGGAGAATGTCATGTGATGATAGAAACAGACATTGGGGTGATGTAGCTGAAAGCTAAGTAACACTAGGGATTGAAAGCTACCACCTGAGGCTAGGAAGAGGTGAGGAAGGATCATTCCCTGGAGCCATCAGAGAAGAGTGGCTCTCCCTATGCCTTGACTTTGAACTTCCAGTATCCAGAACCGAGTCAAATTTCTGTGGTTTAAACCACCCACTTTGTGGCTGTTTCTTATGGCAGCCCTAGGAAACTAATATGCCAAGAGATCCATAACCTTTTCCAAAAATACCATATTATTGTGTACAGAAAGAGTATCAAAAATAAAAATAGAAAAGGAATAAAATAGTAGATACTTAAGACATTCAGTAAAGCAAATTCTTTAAAATATACTTGTAGAAAAAATCTTAAGTGTAAGTAACATGTGCCTTTTTCATGTAGAAAAAAAATCAAAGGGGAAGCTATGTCTTTCATAATTAAACTGATAATTTTTTATATCTGGGTTGACATTTTGACTAATATAATGCATACCATAAAATAATTTTGTAGCCTGAAATAATTTATTTAGTTTATGAGATGATAGTTTTTCAGTCAGGAGCTCTAATTGAATATTTGCTCTCCACACACACATATACAAAAAGAATTATATGCATCTATAACAATAAAATCACAATAATTTATCACATTATGAGAATGTATGTGTTAATCAAAGAAAACATACAGTTAATGTGTTGTGTTAATGTTTAGCTAATGGACACATTTTTTATTATGTGATCATCTGCTGTGAGGCTTTTGTTAAAGAACTTTTTCAAAGAACTGCTGATTAAAGCTACTGCGTTTGCTAGTTTCATGCAAATCTCTTAAAGGAAAAGGTATTCTAAGTAAAATCTAAATTCTTTCTTTGATTAGCTCAAAGAAATGAATGAATGGCTTCCTGACAAAGCTTTGTGTCATAACATATTTTGATAGATATTTTTAAGGGTCAATGAAAACCAGCTTATAAAAAATAGCTACAATATATTATTTGGTTCATTTTGTAAAGAATTATTAATGACAATGCTAGGCATTTGATGGTGAAAAATATCTCCTGATAATCCCTTATATTTGAATCATGTTTAATAGACTATCGAATGCTTTTGTATAAATTGTCTCAATCATTGCCACTAATATGTGAATACACAGAAAATCTTTTCCATGGCAAATGAAATTGTAGTAGATGAGCAATATGACTTATTGGGGGTAACTTAACTAGTGAATGGCAGATAAATTGCACTCCATTGTTAATGTTCTTTTAAAGTTCTGTATAGATGACTGTCAGTACATGGCAAACTTACACTCAATATGTTATTAATACTTTCTTGCCCAAATATCCTCTCTTACTAACGTTCTCACTCCCTTTCTTCAATTACACTTGCTTTCCAGGGACATGTAGACAACATCCTTTTTTTGATCATTGTCCCATTGTTTCAGCTATTCCACTTGCCAAATCCCCTGCCTAACTTAACTGCCCATAAATTCCTTAGCCTGGGTAAACTGTTACATTCGTCTCTGAAGGACAAAATTATACAACTTGGAAACTGGAATCCCTAAAATCGATAGATTTATATTCTTGATTGTATTTCCACCACCCTGTCAATTCTTTTTATTTTGGGTTTGTCCTCTCTCATGCTTCCTTTTAGGGGTTCTCCTTTGTAAAATGAAATCTCTCCATAGGTGCTCTTTTTCTGGTAGGAGATAGGGAGCTGACAGCAGTGCTTTCTTCTATGGCTACCTTATAGTTTTTTTCTTTTTTTTGAGGTATAATTTATGTATTATATGAAACACAGGTCTTAAGTGTTCAATTCAATGAGTTTTGACAATTGTATACATATGAGTAACACAAAATAAGATACAGATCATTTATGGCCCTCCGGAAATTTCCTTTATATTACTTTCCAGTAAACATTCCTTTTCCAAAGTTTGATTGAAATGAGTTCAGGAAAGCATGTAAGAAATATGTTTAGAGAGAGCAAGTTTATACAACTATTTTATTCAATGCATATTAGGTTGAATATTAAAGATAATTCATTGTAAGATGAGCAAAATAGCTAGGTATATACCTGAAAATTTTCACTAAAAAGAAATGTTGATGTAGGATACAGTGGGGATAATTGAAAAACTACTGTGTTAGAGAAAGCAAAAGTCACAGAATTTAGTACCTAGATGGATAGACTAGCTTAGGTAACAGAACACACATTAGTTTAATTGTGGCAAGATGTAAAACAGAGTATATGAGTATGTATGAATTTAAAATGGGTCATCTGTCAGAGAAAAAATATCATTATTTTTCCTTCTTTTTTTTTCCTGATTCTTAATGATGACTTGGTGAAATCAGAAGCCTTGCCATTGTCTGAAAATGAGGATGAAAAAGAAAATGAGAACAAATTAGATGAGTTAGTCTTTTTGTATAGGGAAGTATACAGGAAAACTTAACAGGATTATTTAGGTTACACTAATGACTCATTTGGTGCAAGTGGTCATGAACTAAAAGGAAATAAATCAGTATAGTTATGTGTTCTTCTAACAGTGTTCATTCAGCTGGACAGATGCTGGGGCAAAATATGCAGAATTTTATATAACTAGAATTGATTTTTTTTTCAGTGGACATGCTAAAGAGCAAAGAGGCCAGAAAGTTTGAAAACCAAGGCAAAAGACTGATTGTGACGAGTCATCATTGACCTAAATTGGGTAAAAAAGCAGTGAAGATATTGTGTGAGGGAGGGTGAGATGATGGTTGGATCAATGTATGGTTACACGTTTGAAAGGCTTTTAAGTGATTAAATTGAGTGTGTGAGTGTGTGTATGTGTTATACATAAACACAGCATTTTTTAAGTATCAGAGGGTATCTGCTAAGTGACATAATCAGGAATTTAGGAAAATATCATCATTTTCCTTTTCTTTTCTATTGCATATATTCAAATATGTTAGACTTTTTTTGTCTTCAACTTTTTAGACAAACATATTCTTATCTCAAATTACCATGAACTGTTTTGATCATTTAGCTGACTTTCTCTGAATGTTCACTGCTTCAGTTATGTCTTTGATTAGTGGAACAACAGCTGTGCCGTGATTTCTCTACTTAAAGATTTTATTTGTTGTTTTATTTCTATCACCAACATAGACCTAAGATAATATCTTAAGATATATGCCTTCAGGTAAACATAAACAAAAGTAGTTTGCTCCTTCAATAAAAAAACCTTAATTTTCCAATTTAAACTAAAATAAGCTTTTGCCAAGATCAACAATAAGTTCCACTTTACTAAAAGCAATGGCTAATTTTCAGTCGAATATGTTGAATCATCCCCAACATTTAATATATTCCGTTGCTCATTCTTGAAGTGCCTCCTTCCCATAACTTCTTGATTCTATTCTTACTTTGAAGGCCACTATTTCCTTACAGGGTATATAGCTGTTTTGCATGAGGGTTTACTTTTGAAACTTATTCTTATAAGTGTTCTTGTACTCACTCTATAGGTGATTTATCCATTCTCATGGATTTAAATACAATTTATATGATAATTTCTCCCAAATTTACTTCTCTTGACTGAGAGCTCTCCCCTGAATTCTGGGTGCATGTATCAAACTTATTTTTCAACATCTCCATTGGTGTATGCAATGAGTTATTGTCAGTCTGTTGGAACTTAAAATATCAAAAACTGGGTGGCTTATAAACAACAAAATTTATTTCTCACATTTCTGGAGATTGAGAAGTCTAAGACCAAGGCACTGGCAGATTTGATGTCTGGCAAGGGCCTGCTATCTGGTTCATAGATGAGACATGCTAGCTTTGTCCTCCTTCATGTGGTGGCAGGGGCCAGGGAGCTCTCTGGGGCCTCTTCTATAAGGGTACTATCCCCATTCATGAGGGTTCTGCCCTGACGACTTAATCACCTCCCAAAGGCCCCACCTCCTAAAACTATTGCCTGGCTGTTTAGGTTTCAACACATGAATTCGGGGGAGACACAAACATTCACATCATAGCAGTTAAGGCAACAACATATCTAAAATTAAATTTCTAGAATTTTTTTCCAAGATGGCCGATTAGAGGCTTTAGGATGCTTCAGCCAATTGGAAATAGCAAGATAGTGCATAAAGATCAACTCTGTGAGCTTTAATTCAAGAAGGAAAACAGGAATCCACTGTAATCATGAAGGACACTTCAGATCTGGGGAGGAGAATGCTGGCAAACAGCATTGACATGCTAATTGACATCGGGCTAATAAAAGTGAGTGAAGCCCCAGTATGTGGGAGAGGCAGAGAGCCTCCCTCTGTGACTCACTTTTCCACTTAGGATCTGAGCAACCCAGGCTGAGGGAGAATTCTTTGTTCCTCCCAATCCCTGGAGCTAACTTGGGGAAAGCCTGGAGACACTGAGAGGAGAAGATACTGGGAAATGCTGCAGGCATTTTCCCACACCAGGACCCAGAGCAGGATGCCATTTTCAATTCAGGTACATACCAAGTCAGCCATTCTTTGGTGACTCTGCAGTGTGGCTGTGCAGACATTTTAGTCTGAGACCAAAGATTGGCCTACTTGCTCTGGAGTGGGGTAGGGCCTCCACAGCCAGAACTGTGGAAAGTCTTCAGCAGTAGGCACCGTAGTTTTGTCCTTCCCCATTACAGGCTGGGGTGAGAGGAGAGCTGCTGCAGCAGTGGTTACTTCTGGGCACTGAGACTTGCAACCTGGTCCAGTTTGATGACCTGGAACTGATCTGCTTGTGTCATTGCTGAGTGCTCCAGCCTGCTCCCCTGAGATCCTGGTGCAGTGTGCAATGGGGCCCTCTCGGCTTCACCCCCAGACAGAATTGCAGGCATTCAGGGCACATGCTTGCCTAGACCAGCAGCCTGAGCTGCCCAACCATTTTGGGCATAGATCATGGTAAAGTGGAGCCCACTCCATGCCTAGGCAGATCTCCAAGCTCTTGGAGCATCTGCTGTCCTGGATTAGCAATCTAGGCTACACCACCCTTACTGGACATACATATATTATGGTGCAACAGGGCCCTCTCTGCTCCATACTGAAGCAGATCTTAAGGTATTCAAAGCAATTGTTTGCCCAGATTGGCAGCCTGAGCCACCCTACCCTTCCTGTATAAAAATCCTGGTGCAAGGAGATCCTCTCCACTTCACATCCAAATAGATTTCCAAGCATTTAGAGCACTTTCTTGCTTCATTTAGCAGCCCAAGGGTGACCTCATTCATCCTGTACAGAGATCCTGGTGCAGTGGGACACTCTCTACTTTATGCACAGGCTGATCTCCAGGTATTTGGAGTACCCACTTGCCAAGATCATCAGCCTGAGCCACCTCACCCTTCCTGTGCAGAGATCTGGGTCCAATGGGGCCCTGTCTGCTTCATATCCAGGCAGAGCTCCAGGCAGTTGGAGCACCCACTTTCCCAGATGAGCAGCCTCAACTGCCCCACCTTTTCTGTGCATATTGTGCTGAAGTGGGGCCCTCTGTGCTTTACACTCAGGCAGACCTTCAGGCATCTGGAGCACCCACTGTCTTGGATTAGGACATTAGGCCACCCTCAATCCCTGTGTAGAGAATTTGGGGCCAAGGAGATTTCAGAGCTCCATGCCTAGGCACACCTCTGGGGGCTTTATGATCATCTACAGAACTTGCCCTCAGCACTGGTGCTTGTGTCTGCCATCAAGAGACCCTTAGGTGGGCCTGTCTGGTCTGGGCCCACCCATTTTTACCCCACACCCCTCGGGTTGAGCAGGGAGACCACTGTGCACTCCACAGATCCGCCCATTGGCTGAGGCAACAGAGAGTTTCTCCTAGTAAACAAGGATCAGGTAAACAACACAGACACCTTAGCTGGCTCTTACCCATCAGCACCTCTTACCCATCATCATCTACTGGCTCATAGGTTGAACCCAGCCCAATGTAAAACCTGCTGACAGAAATGCAAAGAAGCAAAGCCAAAGCCGCTACCCAGGATTTGCTACAGTCACTCCCTTTGGCAGGAGGAAAGGGAAATAAATAATAATAATAATAGTATAGGGAAAGAATAAAGAAAATCCTGTCCCACAAAATAAGTAAAAAGTTAGAAGTGCCAGAGTCTCCAGATGAGAAGGAATCAGTGCAGAAAAACTGGCACAATGAAAAATCTGAATTTTGTGATCCACCAAAGGATCACATTAGCTCTCCAGCAATGGTTCTTAATCAAAATGGAAAGACAGAAAAGATAGATGAAGAATTGAGAGTACGGATTGCAAGGAAGCTCAACAAGATCCAAGACAAGGTTGAAAATCAACACAAAGAAACTTCTAAATCAATCCAAGAAATGAAAGAGGAGACAAACATCTTAAAACAAAATGAATTAGAGCTGCTGAAATTGAAAAACTTATTTAATTATTTTTAAAATACAACTGAAATCTTTATTAGTAGACTGGAGGAAGAAGAAGAAAAAGTTCAGTGCTTGAAGCCCATTCTTTCAAATTAACCCAGTCAGAAAAAATGTAAAAGAAAAATAAATTTTAAAAATGGACAGTCTTTGATTGTGTAAAGTGATCAAACCTATGAATCATTGACATTGCTGATAGATTAGGAGAAAAAAAATCCTGAAAAACATATTTCAGAAAATAATTCAAGAAAACCTCCCTAATCTCCCTAGAGAGTTAGAAGAAAACCTGAGAACATCTGCAAAATACTATACAAAATGAATGTCATGAGGCATATAGTCACCAGAATATCCAAGGTCAATGCTAAAGAAAACAATTTATTTTTCTTTTCTGTTTTTTCTTTCTCTCTCTTTTTTTTTTTTTTTTTTTTTTTGACAAAGTCTTTCTTGTTGCCCAGGTTGGAGTGCAGTGGCACAATCTTGGCTCATTGTAACCTCCACCTTCTGGGTTCAAGCAATACTCTCGCCTCACCCTCCCGAGTAGCTGTGACTACAGGAGTATACCACCACACCAAACTAATTTTTATATTTTTAATAGAGACAGTATTTGCTGTGTTAGCCAGGCTGGCCTCAAACTCCTGGCCTCAAGTGATCCACTTGCCTTGGTCTCCCAAAGTGCTGGGATTACAGGTGTGAGCCACTGTGCCTTGCCTGAAAAAAATCTTAAAGGCAGCTAAAGTAAAATATCAGATGACATACAAAAGGAATACCATCAGACTAACAGCAGACTTCTCAGCAGAAAGTTTACAAGCCTGGGGAGAATGGAGTTTCAGTATCCATAAAGACAAGAAAATCCAACCAAGAATTTCATATTCTGCCAAACTAGGCTTCATAAATGAAGCAGATATACAATCTTTTACAAACAAACAAGTACTAAGGGAACGGAAATTCATTACCACTAGATCAGCCTTACAAGAGAGTCTTAAGGGAGTTCTAACATGGAAATAAGAGAATAACACCTGCTACCACAAAAATACACTGAAGTACATAGTTCACAGACCCTATAAAGTAAGCACACAATAGAAACTACAAAGCGGCCATCTAACAACTTTATGATAGGGTCAAAACCAAATATATCAATATTAATATTGAATATAAACAATGGAAAAACCCTACTTAAAAGGCACAGAGTAGCAACTTGCATTACAAAAATTAGACTTATCTATTTATTCATCTGCTGTCTTCAGGAGACCCATTTCACACATAATGACACCCATAAATCAACTTAAAAGATTGAAGAAAGACTTATCATATACATAGAAAACAAAAAAGAACAGGTGTCACAATTCTTCTATCAGACAAAAGAGACATTAAATCAACAACAGTAAAAAGTGACAAAGAAGGGCATTACATACTAATAAGGAGTTCAATTCAACAAGGTAATTAAACCTAAATATATATGCACCCAACATTGGAGCACCTAGATTCACAAAACAACACTTCTAGACAGAAAAAGACTTAGAAAGCCACAGAATAAAAATGGAGGACTTCAGCAATCTACTTATAGCATTAAAGACATCATTAAGGAAAAAAACTAACAAAGAAATTCTGGATTTAAATTTGACACTTGACCAATTGGACCTGATAGACAACTGCAGAATACTCCACCCATCAAACATACAATACATATTCTTCTCATCTATACATGGCACATATTCCAGGATCAACCACTTGCTCAGTGATAAAGCAAATCTCAATAAATTCAATAAAATCAAAACATATCAACCACACTCTGGGACCACAGTGGAATAAAAATAGAACTCAATACCCAGAAGGTCTCCCCAAACCATACAATTACATTGAAATTAAACAACTTGTTCTTGAATGACTTTTAGGTGAGCAATGAAATTAAGGCAGAAATAAAAAAAATTGAAATAATGAAAACAGAGATACAACATGCCAAAAATCTATGGGGTGCAGCAAATGCAGTGTAAACAGGAGAGTTTATAGTGCCATACTCTCACCTCAAAAAGTTAGGGAAATCTCAAATAATGATCTCATATAACAAGTAAAGGAGCAAGAAAACAAGAACAAACCAACCTTAAAGCTAGTCGAAGAAAAGAAACAGCCAAAATCAGAGCAGAACTGAACAAAATTTAGAGCAAAAAATTCAAGCATAGAATCAATAAAACCAAAAGTTGGTTTTTGAAAGGATCAACAAGATCAATAGACTGCTAGCTAGGTTAACTAAGAAAAAAAGAGAAAAGACCCAAATAAGCACAATCAGAAACAACAAAGATGACATTACAACACATCTCACAGAAATACAAAAGAGCCCCAGAGACTATTATGAACACCTCTATACACAAAAACAAGAAAAATCTAGAGGGAATGGATCAATTCCTAGAAACACACAACTTCCCAAGATTGAATCAGGAAGAAATTGAAACCCTGAACAGACCAATATTGAGTCCCAAAATTGAATCAGTAATAAAAAAAAAAATCTACCAACCAAAAAAAGCTCTGCAACAGATGAATTCAAAGCTGAATTCTATCAAATGTATAAAGAAGAGCTGTTACCAATTGTGTTGAAACTATTTTAAAGATTGAGGAGGAGAAACTAATCTCTAACTCATTCTATGAAGTCAGTAACACATTGGCAAGACCTGGCAAAGACATGGTGAAAAAAGAAAACAGCAGGCCAATTTCCCTGATGAACATAGAAGCGAAAATCCTCAACAAAATCCAGCAGCACATCTGAAAGATAATTCGCCATGACCAAGTAGACTTCATTACTGGGATGCAAAGTTGGTTGTACATATGCAAATCCATAAATGTGATTCAAGACATAAAGAGAATTAAAAATAAAAACCACATGTTTGTCTCAATAGATAACACAAAAAAGCCTTTGATAAAATTCAAATTTCTTTCATAATAAAAACTCTCACAAAACTAGGCATCAAATAAATATATCTCAAAATAATAAATGTCATCTATGATGTCAAATCCATAGCCAACATCATATTGAATAGACTAAAGCTGGAAACATTTTCCTAGAGAACTGGAGCAAGACAAAGATGCTCAGTCTCACTACTCCTATTCAACATAGTACAGGATGTCCTAGCCAGAGCCATCGGGTAACAGAAAGAAAACACAACCAAGCCGGGCGCTGTGGCTCACGCCTCTAATCCCAGCACTTTGGGAGGCCAAGGCGGGCAGATCACCTGAGGTCAGGAGTTTAAGACCAGCCTAACCGACATGGCGAAACCCCATCTCTACTAAAAATACAAAATTAGCCAGGCATGTTAGCGGGTGCCTGTAATCCCAGCAACTTGGGAGGCTGAGGCAGGAGAATCGCTGGAACCTGGGAGGTGGAAGTTGCAGTGAGCAGAGATCGCACCACTGAACCAGGCTGGCTAACAGAGCAAGACTCTGTCTCAGACAAACAAACAAACAAACAAAAACCCACAACCAAATAGGAAAAGAGAAAGTCAAACTAGCTCTCTTCTCTGATGATACAATTCTAGATCTAGAAAACCTTAAAGACCCTACCAAATAAAACCTCCTGGAACTGATAAATGACTTCAGTAAAGTTTTAGGACATAAAATCAGTGTACAAAACTCAGTAGCATTTCTGCACACCAATGATGATGTACCATGCCAGTACCAAAACAGACACATAGACCAGTGGAACAGAGGTTACAGTTTTGGTTACTGTAGTCTTGTAGTATAGTTGGAAGTTGGGTAGTGTGATCCCTCCAGCTTTGTTCATTTTGCTTAGGATTATCTTGCTATATTAGTGCTTTTTTGGTTCCATACGAATTTTAAAATATATATTTTTTTCTAATTCTGGGAAGAACGTCAATAGTAGTTTAATGGGAATAGCATTGAATCTCTAAATTACTTTGGGCAGCATGGCCATTTTTACAATATTGATTCTTTTTATCCACGAGCATGGGATGTTTTTCCATTCGTTTGTGTTCCCTCTGACTTCTTTGAGCAGTGGTTTGTAGCTCTCCTTGAGGAGGTCTTTCACTTCCCTTGTTAGCTGTATTCCTAGGTATTTTCTTCCTTTGTAGCAAATGTGAATGGGAATTCATTCATGATTTGGCTCTTTGCTCCTCTGTCATTGGTGTGTAGGAATGCTTGTGATTTTTACACATTGATTTTGTATCTTGAGACTTTGCTGAAGTTGCTTGTCAGCTTAAGAAGCTTTTGGGCTGCGATATTGGGGTTTTCTACATACAGTATCATGTCATCTGCAAACAGAGACAATTTGACTTCCTCTTGTCCTATTTGAATAACCTTTATTTCTTTCTCTTGCCTGATTGCCCTGGCCAGAACTTCCAATACTATGTTGAATAGGAGTGGTGAGAGAGGGCATCCTTGTCTTGTGGAGGTTTTCAAGGGAAATGCTTCCCACTTTTGCCCCTTCAGTATGATATCAGCTGTTTTTTGTCATGGAGGAGTCCCTCCTTTGCAATTGCTTGGAATAGTTTCAGAAGAAATGGTACCAGCTCCTCTTTGTACCTCTGGTAGAATTCAGCTATAAATCCATCTGGCCCTAGACTTTTTTTGGTTGGTAGGCGATTTATTACTGCCTCAATTTCAGAACTTGTTATTGGTCTAATCAGTGATTCCGCTTCCTGGTTCAGTCTTGGGAGGGTATACGTATCCAGGAATTTATCCATTTTGTCTAAATTTTCTAGTTTATTTGCATAAAGGTGTTTATAGTATTCTCTTTGGAGTACTCAATAATTCATCTTTCCCCCAAAATATATAAATTCTTGAGTATAACCAAGAAAATGCAGAGTTGAAGGTTACTTTATGGTTTACTGATTTAAAATCTATTTCAGTAATCTAACCAGCCATGTATTATAGGGAAGAGAATACTTAATTTTAAACTGAAGAACTATAATTATTTTGTAATGCCCATATCATTGTCTTATAATTGTTTTTCTGCAAATATTTATTGTATCAAATAATACTATATTGATACATTCCTGATAGCTACAAAATGGCAGAAAGATACTTTTACCCCCAAGTTAAATTTTTTTAAGAAATTACAAGTCTCTAAAAATAGACATAGATAATCATTTTAGCCTTTAAAAAGCATTTCACACCCTACAAATCATTGATACTATATTCTTTCCCAGAGAGTTCATGGAGACCTGGGTATTCTCTTGCTGTGCCTAGGCCTGGCAGCATTCCTGCTTTTCTGGAAATGCCCTAAATGTAGGGATGCCAGTTTTACCAAATGAAAATATAGGAAACCCAATTAGAGTTTAATTTCAGATAAATAATGATACATTTTTAATATCTGTATGTCTCAAATATTGCATGGGGCATATTTATACTAAGAAAGAAATTTTACCTGAAATTAAAAAGTAACTGTGTGTCTCGTATTTTACCAGGTAACCCTACCTGCACGGTCTCATTACACGTCTCTTGTGAACTGTTGTAATAAATTGTCTTTATGCAACACAGAGCACATTGCATCTCCCGAGCCAGCCTTCTCACCTAGGGTAGGTAAAGGCCCTAGAGCAGGCATATTTTCTTCATGTTCCTCCAATAAAACTTCTTTTTTCTCCTAGGTTGGTACCATCATTGTCTCCTCACCCCACCACATCCTTGCCAACATGTAAGGTACACAGAATTAGCTTAGGGCCAACTTAACAGTTCTGCTTACCACTAACTCCGTGACATTAAACAACAAGCACAATCAGTTGCATTTCCTCCAATTGTAATATCAACATAATTGGAGGTTGAATTTTATGAACTCTGATGTTCCTTCTGTTCTAACATTTTGCAGCTCTAAGTCCCTCAGCACTGGGAGGTTTTGCAAATTAAACAACCTCTTAAAATAAATATGTGTGGGAAATAGCCTAAATATTGTTGCTGCTGTTGTTGCTTTTTAAACTCTAAGTTTTGAAAAATTGTATTTAATTGATCTGTGTTCACTTTTTATAATTGATATGCGTGTAAGTACATATGTAGGTAGGTGCATTTTTAAAGACAGTGTGTTCAATTTTACTTGCAACGAGCCAGAATTGTATATAGATACAGATACAGAATTGTGTATAGATACATAATTATATCTGTAATGTAAGAAAGAAAAGATGTTAACTTGATATTTCTACCACAGAGGCACTCAGATGAATCTATTCTTATTTGAAAAAAATAAAACTCTCTAAATGTTTGAAACGCACTCATCATTTGTCACAATCTCCTTCTGTTGTGTTAGAATATTTTTTGCAGTTAATATTCAAAACTAAGCATTCACAGTTTCCTCCCTTTTTTTCTTTTCTAAGCACATAACTAAATAAAATTAAAGTTTCAAAAGCCACTGCCCCTCTGTCTCCTGTGTGGTTGATCATTGTGGTTGATTTCCTGTGCCTCTGTTAGCTGATATAGACCACACTGCCTTCCATTTCAATTACAGCATTAGAATTCCAAGCGAAGGATTCTGAGGAAAAATAATTTCCTTTGACTACAGTGGTTCATCAGTGTGATTTCTTATCTCGCTAAGGATTGCAGAGTTCACTTGCTTTGCCCTCTAACTTACTATTTTTCTTTATATTAAACATTGATTACATTTTCCTATTTTCTCTCTCCCTCTGCTCCATTTTCTCTTTGCTTTTATATTTTTTTATTTTTTATCTTAAAATATTTTAATGTAAAATTTATCAGATAAAAATATACAAAATATGCATATGTAGCATTTTAAAAATATATACAGTACTTATACATTTTTATAACACCAGCTTAAGAAATAGAACATTAATATTCAGTTTAAATCCCCCTGCATTCCGTCCGTAATTGCACTCATTTTCTGCTTTCCAATCCAGAAGTCTTCTCTTTATTTATTTATTTATTTATTTATTATTATTATACTTTAAGTTTTAGGGTACATGTGCACAATGTGCAGGTTAGCTACATATGTATACATGTGCCATGCTGGTGTGCTGCACCCACTAACTCGTCATCTAGCATTAGGTATATCTCCCAATGCTCTCCCTCCCCCCTCCCCCCGCCCCACAACAGTCCCCAGAGTGTGATGTTCCCCTTCCTGTGTCCATGTGTTCTCATTGTTCAGTTCCCACCTATGAGTGAGAATATGCGGTGTTTGGTTTTTTGTTCTTGCGATAGTTTGCTGAGAATGATGGTTTCCAGCTTCAACCATGTCCCTACAAGGGACATGAACTCATCATTTTTTTATGGGCTTCATAGTATTCCATGGTGTATATGTGCCATATTTTCTTAATCCAGTCTATCATTGTTGGACATTTGGGTTGGTTCCAAGTCTTTGCTATTGTGAATAATGCCGCAATAAACATACGTGTGCATGTGTCTTTAAAGCAGCATGATTTATAGTCCTTTGGGTATATACCCAGTAATGGGATGGCTGGGTCAAATGGTATTTCTAGTTCTAGATCCCTGAGGAATCGCCACACTGACTTCCACAATGGTTGAACTAGTTTACAGTCCCACCAACAGTGTAAAAGTGTTCCTATTTCTCCACATCCTCTCCAGCACTTGTTGTTTCCTGACTTTTTAATGATCGCCATTCTAACTGGTGTGAGATGGTATCTCATTGTGGTTTTGATTTGCATTTCTCTGATGGCCAGTGATGGTGAGCATTTTTTCATGTGTTTTTTGGCTGCATAAATGTCTTCTTTTGAGAAGTGTCTGTTCATGTCCTTCACCCACTTTTTGATGGGGTCGTTTGTTTTTTTCTAGTAAATTTATTTGAGTTCATTGTAGATTCTGGATATTAGCCCTTTGTCAGATGAGTAGGTTGCGAAAATTTTCTCCCATTATGTAGGTTGCCTGTTCCCTCTGATGGTAGTTTCTTCTGCTGTGCAGAAGCTCTTTAGTTTGATTAGATCCCATTTGTCAATTTTGGCTTTTGTTGCCATTGCTTTTGGTGTTTTAGACATGAAGTCCTTGCCCATGCCTATGTCCTGAATGGTAATGCCAAGGTTTTCTTCTAGGGTTTTTCATGGTTTTAGGTCTAACGTTTAAGTCTTTAATCCATCTTGAATTGATTTTTGTATAAGGTGTAAGGAAGGGATCCAGTTTCAGCTTTCTACATATGGCTAGCCTGTTTTCCCAGCACCATTTATTAAAGAGCGAATCCTTTCCCCATTTCTTGTTTTTCTCAGGTTTATCAAAGATCAGATAGTTGTAGATAAGTGGCATTATTTCTGAGGGCTCTGTTCTGTTCCATTGATCTATATCTCTGTTTTGGTACCAGTACCATGCTGTTTTGGTTACTGTAGCCTTGTAGTATAGTTTGAAGTCAGGTAATGTGATGCCTCTGGCTTTGTTCTTTTGGCTTAGGATTGACTTGGCGATGCGGGCTCTTTGTTGGTTCCATATGAACTTTGAAGTAGTTTTTTTCCAATTCTGTGAAGAAAGTCATTGGTAGCTTGATGGGGATGGCATTGAATCTGTAAATTACCTTGGGCAGTATGGTCATTTTCACGATATTGATTCTTCCTACCCATGAGCATGGAATATTCTTCCATTTGTTTGTATCCTCTTTTATTTCCTTGAGCAGTGGTTTGTAGTTCTCCTTGAAGAGGTCCTTCACATCCCTTGTAAGTTGGATTCCTAGGTATTTTATTCTCTTTGAAGCAATTGTGAATGGGAGTTCACTCATGATTTGGCTCTCTGTCTGTTGTTGGTTTATAAGAATGCTTGTGATTATTGTACATTGATTTTGTATCCTGAGACTTTGCTGAAGTTGCTTATCAGCTTAAGGAGATTTTGGGCTGACACAGTGGGGTTTTCTAGATATACAATCATGTCATCTGCAAACAGGGACAATTTGACTTCCTCTTTTCCTAATTGAATACCCTTTATGTCCTTCTCCTGCATAATTACCCTGGCCAGAACTTCCAACACTATGTTGAATAGGAGTTGTGAGACAGGGCATCCCTGTCTTGTGCCAGTTTTCAAAGGGAATGCTTCCAGTTTTTGCCCATTCAGTATGATATTGGCTGTGGGTTTGTTATAGATAACTCTTATTATTTTGAAATACTTCCCATCAATACCTAATTTATTGAGAGTTTTTAGCATGAAGGGTTGTTGAATTTTGTCAAAGGCCTTTTCTGCATCTATTGAGATAATCATGTGGTTTTTGTCTTTGGTTCTGTTTATATGCTGGATTACATTTATTGATTTGCGTATATTGAACCAGCCTTGCATCCCAGGGATGAAGCACACTTGATCATGGTGGATAAGCTTTTTGATGTGCTGCAGGATTCGGTTTGCCAGAATTTTATTGAGCATTTTTGCATCAATGTTCATCAAGGATATTGGTCTAAAATTGTCTTTTTTGGTTGTGTCTCTGCCCGGCTTTGGTATCAGGATGATGCTGGCCTCATAAAATGAGTTAGGGAGGATTCCCTCTTTTTCTACAGATTGGAATAGTTTCAGAAGGAATGGTACCAGTTCCTCCTTGTACCTCTGGTAGAATTCAGCTGTGAATCCGTCTGGTCCTGGACTCTTTTTGGTTGGTAAGCTATTGATTATTGCCTCAATTTCAGATGCTGTTATTGGTCTATTCAGAGATTCAACTTCTTCCTGGTTTAGTCTTGGGAGAGTGTATGTGTCGAGGAATTTATCCATGTCTTCTAGATTTTCTAGTTTATTTGCATAGAGGTGTTTGTAGTATTCTCTGATGGTAGTTTGTATTTCTGTGGGATCGGTGGTGATATCCCCTTTATCATTTTTTATTGCATCTGTTTGATTCTTCTCTCTTTTTTTCTTTATTAGTCTTGCTAGCGGTCTATCAATTTTGTTGATCCTTTCAAAAAACCAGATCCTGGATTCATTAATTTTTTAAGGGTTTTTTGTGTCTCTATTTCCTTCAGTTCTGCTCTGATTTTAGTTATTTCTTGCCTTCTGCCTGCTTTTGAATGTGTTTGCTCTTGCTTTTCTAGTTCTTTTAATTGTGATGTTAGGGTGTCAATTTTAAATCTTTCCTGCTTTCTCTTGTGGGCATTTAGTGCTATAAATTTCCCTCTACACAATGCTTTGAATGCATCCCAGAGATTCTGTTATGTTGTGTCTTTGTTCTCTTTGGTTTCAAAGAACATCTTTATTTCTGCCTTCATTTCATTATGTACCCAGTAGTCATTCAGGAGCAAGTTGTTTAGTATCCATGTAGTTGAGCGGTTTTGAGGGAGATTCTTAATCCTGAGTTCTAGTTTGATTGCACTGTGGTCTGAGAGATAGTTTGTTATAATTTCTGTTTTTTTACATTTGCTGAGAAGAGCTTTACTTCCAACTATGTGGTCAATTTTGGAATAGGTGTGGTGTGGTGCTGAACAAAATGTATATTCTGTTGATTTGGGGTGGAGAGTTCTGTAGATGTCTATTAAGTCTGCTTGGTGCAGAGCTGAGTTCAATTCCGGGGTATCCTTGTTGACTTTCTGTCTCATTGATCTGTCTAATGTTGACAGTGGGGTGTTAAAGTCTCCCATTATTAATGTGTGGGAGTCTAAGTCTCTTTGTAGGTCACTGAGGACTTGCTTTATGAATCTGGGTGCTCCTGTATTGGGTGCATATATATTTAGGATAGTTAGCTCTTCTTGTTGAATTGATCCCTTTGCCATTATGTAATGGCCTTCTTTGTCTCTTTTGATCTTTGTTGGTTTAAAGTCTGTTTTATCAGAGACTAGGATTGCAACCCCTGCCATTTTTTGTTTTCCATTTGCTTGCTAGAACTTCCTCCATCCTTTTATTTTGAGCCTATGTGTGACTCTGCACGTGAGATGGGTTTCCTGAATACAGCACACTGATGGGTCTTGACTCTTTATCCAATTTGCTAGTCTGTGTCTTTTAATTGGAGCATTTAGTCCACTGACATTTAAAGTTAATATTGTTATGTGTGAATTTGATCCTGTCATTATGATGTTAGCTGGTTATTTTGCTCGTTAGTTGATGCAGTTTCTTCCTAGTCTCGATTGTCTTTACATTTTGGCATGATTTTGCAGTGGCTGGTACCAGTTGTTCCTTTCCATGTTTAGCGCTTCCTTCAGGAGCTTTTTTAGGGCAGACCTGGTGGTGACAAAATCTCTCAGCATTTGCTTGTCTGTAAAGTACTTTATTTCTCCTTCACTTATGAAGCTTAGTTTGGCTGGATATGAAATTCTGGGTTGAAAATTCTTTTCTTTAAGAATGTTGAATATTGGCCCCCACTCTCTTCTGGCTTGTAGAGTTTCTGCCGAAAGATCTGCTGTTAGTCTGATGGGCTTCCCTTTGAGGGTAACCCCACCTTTCTCTCTGGATGCCCTTAACATTTTTTCCTTCATTTCAACTTTGGTGAATCTGATAATTAGGTGTCTTGGAGTTGCTCTTCTCGAGGAGTATCTTTGTGGCGTTCTCTGTATTTCCTGAATCTGAATGTTGGCCTACCTTGCTAGATTGGGGAAGTTCTCCTGGATAATATCCTGCAGAGTGTTTTCCAACTTGGTTCCATTCTCCCCGTCACTTTCAGGTACACCAATCAGACGTAGATTTGGTCTTTTCACATAGTCCCATATTTCTTGGAGGCTTTGCTCATTTCTTTTTATTCTTTTTTCTCTAAACTTCCCTTCTCGCTTCATTTCATTCATTTCATCTTCCATTGCTGATACCCTTTCTTCCAGTTGATGGCACCGGCTCCTGAGGCTTCTGCATTCTTCAGGTAGTTATTAAGCCTTGGTTTTCAGCTCCATGAGCTCCTTTAAGCACTTCTCTGTATTGGTTATTCTAGTTATACATTCTTCTAAATTTTTTCAAAGTTTTCAACTTCTTTGCCTTTGGTTTGAATGTCCTCCCGTAGCTCAGAGTAATTTGATCATCTGAAGCCTTCTTCTCTCAGCTCGTCAAAGTCATTCTCTGTCCAGCTTTGTTCCATTGCTGGTGAGGAACTGCGTTCCTTTGGAGGAGGAGAGGCGCTCTGCTTTTTAGAGTTTCCAGTTTTTCTGCTCTGTTTTTTCCCCATCTTTATGGTTTTATCTACTTTTGGTCTTTGATGGTGGTAATGTACAGATGGGTTTTTGGTGTGGATGTCCTTTCTGTTTGTTCGTTTTCCTTCTAACAGAGAGGACCCTCAGCTGCAGGTCTGTTGGAGTACCCTGCCGTGTGAGGTGTCAGTGTGCCCCTGCTGGGGGGTGCCTCCCAGTTAGGCTGCTCGGGTCAGGGGTCAGCGACCCACTTGAGGAGGCAGTCTGCCCGTTCTCAGATCTTAAGCTGCGTGCTGGGAAAACCACTGCTCTCTTCGAAGCTGTCAGACAGGGACATTTAAGTCTGCAGAGGTTACTGCTGTCTTTTTGTTTGTCTGTGCCCTGCCCCCAGAGGTGGAGCCTACAGAGGCAGGCAGGCTTCCTTGAGCTGTGGTGGGCTCCACCCAGTTCGCGCTTCCCAGCTGCTTTGTTTACCTAAGCAAGCCTGGGCAATGGCGGGCACCCCTCCCCCAGCCTTGCTGCCGCCTTGCAGTTTGATCTCAGACTGCTGTGCTAGCAATCAGCGAGACTCTGTGGGTGTAGGACCCTCCGAGCCAGGCGCGGGATGTAACCTCCTGGTGCGCCGTTTTTTAAGCCCGTTGGAAAAGCGCAGTATTCAGGTGGGAGTGACCCGATTTTCCAGGTGCCGTCTGTAACCCCTTTCTTTGACTAGGAAAGGGAACTCCCTGACCCCTTGTGCTTCCCGAGTGAGGCAATGCCTCGCCCTGCTTGGGCTTGCTCACGGTGTGTGCACCCACTGACCTGCACCCACTCTCTGGCACTCCCTAGTGAGATGAACCCGGTACCTCAGATGGAAATGCAGAAATCACTTATCTTCTGCGTCACTCACGCTGGGAGCTGTAGACCTGAGCTGTTCCTATTCGGCCATCTTGGCTCCTCCTCCCCGCTTTTATAATTACTCCAAAGTAAAATAAAGTATCATTTTTCAAGTATCACACTGAAATTAAAAGTAGGTTCATTAAAAATGGCACATCTAAATAATATTAAAAAAGAAAAATGCATATACATACGCACTCTTTGAATTCATTCTCCCCGATTTGTATTATAAAATGTGAGCCAGAAATCACCTTAGATTTTTTCCAACCGAAGCTGCTCACCAGTGTGGCCTGCTCCCAGCTGCAGAGGAGTCACATCTAGGTCTCTGACAGATGCTGTTAAAACCCATCTTATTAGGCTGGATGGAGTAGAAAGCACCCCTTTACTTTTCTCCCCTGGAAGAAAAGGTAAACTCCCAGAATACAAAGAGCACCTTTGTAAATCTGTCTCTGAATCACCAACATTTATACCCTAGCTCTGAGAGAGGGGACTGACTGTCACCAAAGTGGTTTTGGATATTTAATTTTTGATAATTTTATATGTTAGTCAGTAATTGGAATGTCAAAATTTAGGGTCTCAGTCTAAATTTCTAATTTAACGTATTATTAAAATGTTATTTGCAGCTTATCATAGTTGGAACTTAGGAAATATGAATTTATTGACTCACTTTTTAAAAAATTCAGACTAATTCTGATACTTCATTGTCATAAACTGAAATAGTTATCAGATAACTATTGAGGCATTTTAAGTTGGCTTTATGCAAATGAAACAAAATCCTGAAATAATTTTAGGGCGGTATTTTAATAAAAATACAATGTTAAAGTTTTAAATATTCCCAGTATCTACTTTTTAATTTTGTATACCTATACCAGGTTAGTTTTCATTAGTTATGAATAAACATTCTATCATTTTTATTTGTAAGTAGGAGATTTGAGAACACAGTCACTTTCTGCCTGTTTATTAGTATATTGTGCAATATTGTTAATGTAATTTGAGGTTAGAGAATTCTTAATTTAGGATTCTGAAAAGAAATTTAGAATATGCTTCTTTACGAACATGAGATGCAGAAACATCTGAACTTGCAAAATAAATTTTTGAGATTAAAAAAATACACATTTGAATAGTTAAAGCTTTCTTAGAGAATGCAGTAGATAAGAGAAAATTAATACTTTTTTTTCTAGTTAGCTTACGATTGCATGTGCAACTACTTTATAATCATACATGTTAAAGTGTTTCATATATACTATATTATTTATTCTCACAATAATTTCATAAGGACAATATTAACATCTGTGTCATACAGATGAGAACATGATTTCACACCATGGAATACAATGCAGCCATAAAAAAGGATGAGTTCATGTCCTTTATAGGGACATGGATGAAACTGGAAACCATCAGTCTCAACAAAGTAACATAAGAAGAGAAAAGCAAACACCACATGCTCTCACTCATAATTGGGAGTTGAATAATGAGAACACATGGACACAGGGAGGGGAACATCACATACCAGGGCCTGTCGACAGGTCGGGGGCTGGGGGAGGGATAGCATTTGGAGAAATACCTAATTTAAATGACGAGTTGATGGGTGCAGCACAGTTACGTGGCAGGATACAAAATCAACACACAAAAAATCAGTTGTGTTTTTATACAGTAACAATGAACTACCTGAAAAAGCCATTTAAAAAGCAATCCCATTTACAATAGCATCAGGAAGAAAAAAGTACCCAGGAATAAATTTAGCCAGGGAAGTGAAAGATCTGTACACCAAAAATTGTAAGCATTGATGAAAGAAATGTAAAAAGATACAAATGAAAGGAAAGATATATGTTCTTGAATTAGAAGAATGAATATTGTTAAAATGTCCAAACTGCCCAATGCAATCTACAGATTCAACACAATCCTTATCGAAATTCCTATGACATTCTTCACAGAAATGGAAAAAATATCCTAAAATTCATGTGGAACCACAAAAGCAATCTTGAGAAATAAGAACAAACCTAGGGACATGACATTTCTGATTTCAAATAGTATTACAAAGCTGCAGTAATCAAAAGAGTTTGGTACTGGCATAAAAACAGACACATACGCTGATGAAACAGAATAGAGAGCTCAGAAATCAGAAATCACCCATGCATATATGGTCAACTAATCTTTGGCAACTGCACTAAGATCACACAATGGGTAAAGAATAGTCTCTTCAATAAATGATGTTCAGAAATCTGGATAGTCACGGGGGTGTCAGGGGGTGGGGGGAGAAAATAAACACTTTTCTTATACTATACACAAAAGTCAATTCAAAATGGCATAAGACAAATGTAAGACCTGAAACTGTAAAACTCCAAGAAAAAGTCTTATGGAAAAAGATTCTTGATATTGTCTTAGCACAGGCAATGAAAGTAAAAATAAACGGAATACATCAACTGAAAAAGTTTTTGCATGGCCAAAAAGAAAAAAGATAAAGAAAAAGAAAAGGCAACCTGAAGAATGGGGAAAACATTTGCACACCATGTATCCGGTAAGTTAATATATAAAAAGTATAAAGAACTCATACAACTCAACAGTAAAAAATCTCAAATAATCTGATTTTTTAAATGGGCATAGGATCTGAGTAAACATTTTTCCAAAGAAGATATATAAAAGTGTCCACTAGGTACATTAACCTCACTAATCAGCAGAGAAATGCAAATCAAAACCACAATGAGATATCACCTCATACCTGTTAGTACAAATACTACCAAAAAGACAAAAGATAACAGGTATTGGAAAGGATGTGGAGAACAGGAAACTCTTGTACAGTGTTGGTGGGAATGTAAATTAATGCAGACATTATAAAAAACAGTGTGGTGGTTCCTCAAAAAATTTAAAGTAAAACTACCACATGATCCAGCAATTTCATTTTCAAATACATAAACAAAAGAAATAAAATCACTATCTTGAAGAGATATCTGTACTACCTTATTCACTGAAGCATTATATGCAATAGTCACAATATAGAAAAACCTAAGTGTCTATTGACAGATGAATGAATAAATAAAATTTGTCATGTATATACACACACAGACACACACAAATATTATTTGGCTATAAAAAGGAGGATATTCTGCCATTTGCAGCAAGAGGGGAGAACCTATAGGTAATTATTCTAAGTGAAATAAACCAGACAGAGAAAGACAAATACTGTATGATATGACTTATATGTGAAATCTAAAACTTTTAAAAAGTCAAACCATAGAAACAGAGTATAATGATGATCCCAGGGGCTGGGGTGTGAGGAAAATGGGGAGGTGTTGATCAAAGGATACAAACTTTCAGTTATATAATAATATGGTCTTAGGCTCTGATGTGCAGCCTGATGACTCTACTTAATAAAACTGTATTCAGTACTTGAAATTTGCTAAAAGATTAGATATTAAGCAGTCTCATCTAATGGAAAACAAAACAAGGTAACTGTAAGGTGATGGATGTGTTAATTAACTTGATGGTGTTAATCATTTCACAATGTATATATATGTCAAATGATCACATTGTACACATTAAGTGTATTAAATCTATACAACTTTGTTTGTTAATTATACCTCAACAAAACTAGAAAAAAACAGAAATAGAATCAACCTAATTTTAAGAAGAACAACACCCCGCCCCCACCCCAGGCTAAAACAACATCTCCATTTGAGGCACTCTTTCTCTCAGGGATATATGATAAAATCTACTGAGATTATCTACTGATACTGTGCTCAGCCATTGGCTGGGGGAAGCCCACTGGAAGCATGGAATCAACACAATCACAGAAATGGATCCAGGAGTGCTGCGGCAGGCAGCCCTTCTATTATGCTCCCTACAGAAGGAAATCTGAACAGTATACATTCTAATGGACATCAGTGTGGTATCCGAGAAAGAAAGTGAAGAACAAAAAGGAGGAATATTATGCTGTGTAAAATGCTGATGATAGGTCAAAGAAGAGGAGGAATGAGAACTGGTAATTGGATTTAACAACGTGGATGTCATGGATGTATTTGACCAGAAGTTTTGGTGGACTCGTGACAAATAAACCCTAATAGGATTGGGCTTAAAAGCGAATAGGAAGAGAGATAGACTGTGAGAAGAGATTACTATTTGAAGGTGATTTACCAAAACAAACAAAACTGAGTTATCTGTATTAGTCCATTTTCACCCTGAGACTGGATAATTTATAAAGAAAAGAGATTTAATTGACTCACAGTTCCACATGGCTGGGGTGACCTCAGGAAACTTACAATCATGTCAGGAGGCAAAGGGGAAGCAAGCTTGGACCTTCTCACATGGCAACAGAAGAGAGTGTGTGAGTGCAGGAAAAACTGCCATTTATAAAATCATCAGATCTCATGAGAACTCACTCACTATCACAAGGAGAACATGGGAGAACCACCCCCATGATATAATCATTTCCCACCAGGTCCCACCCACAACACGTGGTGATTACAATTCAGATTACAATCCAAGGTGAGATTTGGGTAGGGTCACAGATCCAGACTCCACCATTATCTGAATGGGAAGTCTTTAAAAAATGGAAAATTAGTATCATGTTTGTATGCTGTTGGAATAATTCACTCATGTTGCCAAACACTTAATTGGTCTCTTTGTTATATTAATGGCCCATCATGCATCATGTCTTTCTGTTTCTAGGCCTCTTAGTGATATAACTTTGCTCCTAACAAGAGGGGAAGTCTATTTTTCCCCAAATCTTACATCTGAGTTGGCATTGTAGCTCATCTTGACCAATATAATGCTACAGAAGTGACATCGTGTGCCTTCTATGGTTAGGCTTTAAGAGGCATTGCAGCTGCTGATTTCACCAACTAGGAATATTTTCTACTTCATTTAAAATGTCCAATTTATCCTTATGGGAGAAGAAAACACATACAGAGGAGAACCAGGGTTGCCCAGCCAACAGCTGACACAACAGCGAACATGTGAGTAAAGCTACCTTGGACAACCAGTCCTAGTCAAATGAACAGCTGCCTACAGAGTGACCCCAGACATAAGAAGAAGACTGTCTGGCTAAACCTAAATGGTCAAACCACAAGTTTGTAAGACATAATGAATGCTTGATTATATGTTCATCAACCTTAGGAGTGATTTATTAACAGTGATAGATAACTGATAGAGTCCCAAAACACCTTTTAAAAAGTCTTATCCTTTGCTTTTCTTCTATATGTTATAATGTTTACTTACATTAGGTAAAGTAAGGAAAGTTCTATGCAATTGCAGTTTGCATTTTATCATATCCGTCTTAACCAGCTACACATATTTATCCTTTAAGGCCTACCTATATTACCTGGACTGGTATCTCTACATACTTTTACTGCCTTTGGGTGTACTTACTGCTCAATTTATTTATATCTTTCTTGTGCTCTATTACACCTCATTACACACATGTATGTATTGGTTTGATTTCCTAAGTGGCTATGGCAAGAGATATGTCTACCATGAACAACTCAAATGGTTTACTTTTACTGTGTCTTCCTCCTTTCCTTCCTTCCTCCTTTGTTTCCTTTTTTCCTTCCCTCCTTCCTTCCTTCCTTCCTTTTTCCTTCCTCCCTCCCAATCGTTGTCTTCCTACATCCTTCCTTCCCTTTTATATTTCATTCCTTCATTCCTCTTAGAATTTAAATAGAATTCCTACAGTATCTGCAAAAGTACACTTTATTGATGAGACAAAAATATTTTTTGATTTGCAGTAACAAAGATGCTCTGAAATATAAAAATGTAGAGAAATAATCCCTACAATATAGTCTTTAGAGTTAAGAACTCCTAGACATAAAGTAATGAAGTAAAATCTTAAATTCTTCAATAAGCCCATAAGTTGTTTAACATATGCTTTGATATATTATCTACATCATTTAACAATTAATTATGCAAAATATTTCTTTTGCACACATAAAATGATACACATATACTCTACCATTTAGCTACATCCACTTGAGCCACTTGCTAGCTTTATATCTTTGAACAAGATGCTTAAACTTTTTCTATGTAATCTTCTTCATTTTAAAGCTTTCATTAATCTGCTGCCTATTTCACAGGGTTTTATTTGCTAAAATTAAATGATATCACATTTCTATATAGCCTTAGAACAGGACTCAGATATTTTAAGCACCAAATAACTATTAGCAAGTATTATGATATATATTATTACATATATGCTATACTGTCTAGCTTTTCTCATTATCACTTTTAAATATTAGGTTTGCCAAATTATTTTTGAGGTAAGCTGTCTTATTAACCAATTTAAACATTTGTCCAATGACACTCTTTCTCTACTTTATACCTATGTTATCTGGCATCAACTACTTCCTAAAATCTGTGATAAGTAGCCATTGGATTTATTCTCTGCAGTAAAGTCGCTGCTTTCACTGAAGTGGATTTGATTAATTTAAACTATAAAAATGTAAATGAATTTGGGGGGGAAGTACATTAAGAAATGAAAGATAAGGTGATCAGTAATAGACTCAGAGTTTATCATCTTCAAAAATAATGTTTCTTCCAGATTATTCAAGAAAGAAATGAAGTCACCATCTACTGCTCTAAAAACTTCTACTAAGATTTGGGGGAAAGGGTATAAATAAATAATCATGACAAAGCAAGTCCATCAGAGCTCATGACTTCATGTTGTTCATATGTTAAGCTTGTACCACACATGTTATTATAAGGCTTCTTGTGGCTGGTGTACAAGATTGCAATTCATACTAACAGATGTTTCAGAAGGAATTTATTTGTTTAATTTGTTTATGAGTCAGAGAATTTTTGTCTGAATGTAATTATATGAAGAGACCACAATTTATGAATGGGTTGTATTCCAAAAGTGTATTTATGAGTTAGTTGTTTGGGATGAAGAGCATATTTTTATGTATAAACTAGTTTAAATTTTAGTGTTTCCTAAGCAAGGCACAAATATCTGCTTTAACCCATTATTTGGCTGATATTATCCATATATTATTCCTGAGTCCCTGGAGAAAGAATTTGGAGAGAAAATGGCCCCTTTCTTTTGTGGCCAGGTTGTTTGTTTTGATTTTACTCATGGTGGCCTTCCCCACTGTCCAGCGTTGCTTTTCCTGTGACTCTCATGAGACTTCATAAGCCCTAAAAGACCCTGAAGGACAACTACTCTGGCCCAACCCATCCTTGGCAAAATTCACACTATTTTAAAGTTGTCTGCCTCCCTTTTCCCATTATCATCATGGCCTATCTTTCAATATTGCTCATCTCAGGTTATAATAAGAAAGCAAAGTAGTGTCATCTCCTTCCCCTCCTCCTCCTCCTCCCCCCCTCCTTCTCCTCCTCCTCCTTCTTCTTCTTCTTCTCCTCATCCCAGGAGTATTTCTAATTTTAAAACAGGATGTTTGTTCATCCAAATTCTTGTATTTGGTAGACACTTTATGACTTTCAAAATGAGAGGAAAAAACTCAGACATTTTGGAGAGATGACATTTTGTACTCAGGGCCAACATGTTGGTCTTTTCCTGCCAAGAAGTCTGAGTTTTTATCTCCTCTAGTTAATTTTATTTCTTACAACCCTTCCCCTTTTGCCCTTCATAAATTAACACTTTCTCTAAAACTTTTACCCAGAAGTTCCTATTTTACAAACACTGATATATACTGAGCTAAGAAAAAAGAAAAAGTTTATATGTGCATACATTTTTTCCAAATGTATTTTTCTATTTTAACAAATTAATAGCTGACTAATTATTAATTAATGTTGTTTGTTTCCCAGACTCAGTAGTGCACTCCCTCTGTGAGTAGAAAAGCCATGTGTTATTTGGGACTCTAGTGCATGTCTAGAGCTCAGCACAGTGCCTGAAACTTAAAATCCCAACAAGTACTTAATGAATAAAGTAAAAGTTTTAAAATTGGTTCGTATTTAATACATGCCAAAGTAGACACTTAAAAGTACTTGAGTTAAGAAATAATAAGCTATACTCTATAGACTACAGATATCTGCTCAGAGAAATGAACAATGTGATAATTTGTTTTTTACTTTACATTTCTTCTCATTTTTAGACAAGAATAAGGATTAACTTCAGTTATTACAAACAATAAATACCATTTTTACCTGGAAAATAATTTTGATTTATTGATGTTATAGTAAAAAGAGTGAATAGAAAGTTGAAAGAGAAAACATTATTGTAGTTGTTCTCTGATCAAACTACATATATATTTGAGATGTATTTGGCATTTATGCAAAAAGAGGAATTTAAATAGTGAGAATTACATAAAATGTGATTTTTGAACTTGCTTATCACATGTGTAAATGAAACTGAAACACATAAAGTGTGGGAAACAAATCTGAATTTATATGTGCAACCTGAAATTAAGACAAATGAAAGTTTTATCTAGTGAGATAACGCCACATAATATAATAAACTTAAAAGTAATTCATACAAGACTGTCATGCTGGATGCACTTTTATTTAGTTTAAACAACTCTGCAGTTTGCAAAGTATTTGGGTGACCCTTTCTGATTTACACTGGAACATTGACATGTATTAATAAAACATGAGTCCGTGAGGTCTGCAGAGAACAGTCAACACACAACAGATGGAGATGCTTGTTTATTAACAGGTATGAGTTAATAACATGCAGCCATATAAAGACTTGCTCTTGACTCAACTCTAAGGCTGCCTGTTTAATGCTATTAAGTTTCAAAAGACATTGATATCTTGGTAGATTCTTTTCTAATGGATCATCTGCTCTTTATTTTCAACTATTCTTAAATTAATTCTTTAATGAAGTTTTAACAGAAAATACTGTCCAAAAACTCATCAGGATTCAGTTCATTACAACAATCGATAGCTTCTTAGCTCCATATAGTTTCAAACAGTTCTAACTTTAGAAAATAGTATTTATATACTAATACTTCAAATTTTAAAAATGGTATTCATCCACACAGTTTAAGCAACCAATACATTAATATTTGATGGAAACGCTAAAGTTATCCCGGGATAGTCGCTCTTGCAAATCACATTAACACAAAGAAAGATTTCTTACTGGAAATATTTCTGCACATGGATTTTAAATCAACAAATTTCTGAGATAGTTAATTCATTTGAGTCTCAGTTTTTAAGTTTATTATGAATTTTGTGTGCCAATAAATACTCAAAGTTTTTGACCTAGAGCTATGGATAAGATTACATATATATATGTATATGTGTGTGTGTGTATATATTACACATATGTATATTTATTCTCTGCAGCATGCATACATATATACTACATGTATGTATATTTACATGCATGTTAAATACATGTATACACATGTATGTGTATCATGTTACATATATTATATATTTTTACATATGTTATATATGTCTATGTACATATGTATGTGTATTACATATATGTATATGTATATATATTTATTCTCTGCAGTATGTAATACATATATGTATATATTATATATATGTACACACAGTATACATATATGTGTGCATATGTATATATGTATGCATAAACATGTATATAACTTGCATCTCACAGGAAAAGAGGAACTTGTATGTATGGATCACCTAATAGTAGCTGATACTTCAACATGCTTTTGTTCTTTCCATAGGAACATGTGGTTTGATTTGAAGAAACGGCAATATGAAAGTTATCTTGAACTCTGATCTTAAACTCAGAGAACATCTGATTTCAAATTCAGACTTTTGTACCCAAGACTCATATGCTCCTAACTCTCCACTAACTTCAAATTAGATTCCATCTACTAAGCTCGCCCTGTTTCCATGTATCTGATCATTCTACTTTCATCAGTATCAAAACTTCATTTCTGCAATTCCGTTATTTAAAATCCACCTATACTTCATTATGGGGCACAATGTCTAGATCTAGAAAGCTTTCCACCATAGCCTGAATCCTTATTAATCTCTTTTTTTGTGTGAGAATAATGCCATTGCCATATTATTTTCCCTCTTGTGTTTTATTTATCTAAAAAACAAAACCCACAACTTAACAGTTCATTCTCTACCTCATTGTCATGTTTCTAATTATTTTCAATATATGTTTATATCTAGTAACTAAATGGTAGTGTGATCATGGTTCAGACTCGTCAGGATATTACGATTACAGAATAACAACCAGAGGGGGCAAATTAATTGTCTTTGTGGAATTAGTGGAACCAATAAATTTAGGTTTGTTCCTTGATAATACACATTACAAAAGAAGAAGAAAGTGCTTTAAAGATTTTAACATCACAAAAGGACTGGCTGGCAGTAACTTTTGTTTGCCTAACCAAAGTTATCTCTGCATCCATCTCCCCTATTTTTTGATAGCTGAAGCCAGATTTTATTCATTCATTGGCATTGATTTGACCAAGGAATCAGCAATTCACAAAAGTCTTTTCCCTTTGCTAGTGATTGCTTCAGTTGTGAGCATGTGATGCAAACTTGACAAATACAAAGTAAGGAGATATTTGCTGAAGCACTTCCCATACAATTTTCTTTATTTTAAAAATATATAGATAAAGGATTCTCTCAATTGTTGTGCCTTTGGATGTTGCTGAGTATAATAATGATGGCTAGAATTTCTGCAGCCATCATATGACATTGATGGGAAACATAGAGGTGCAAAATTAGCCAATCTGAATCCATCCTTTCTCCAGAATTCTTGTTATATAGACCAATAAATTTTATTATCTATAAGAATTAAATTTTACTCTTAAGCCTGTATTTGATTAAGTCTTTTGATATTTGCAGAAGAATCCAGCCTAACTGCTGTAAATAGCGTAACAGATAATCTTAGTAAATAAGTGATTAGAAAATATTTTCATGTTAATACTTTTGAATATTTAATGAATTCTTGTCATTTTTGGGAATTTGTATGTGCCATTCTTTCATTCGTTGACAAAAGTTACTAATTATTGAAGAAGTAAAATAAACTGTTAGCATGAAATAAATGAACTTGAAAGAGTTTAACTACAGAGGAAATGTTGAATGAGCAAGACTGTTTCTTCCTAACTAAAGAGGAGTTTACATCAGTTGTTTATTACAGACTGCTGGGAGTCATTGTAGGATTTACATAATAAAAAATGCATGTTTCCTTCTCATTTTGGTTAAAATTGTAACATATGTTTCCATACAGAATTCTGAAAATGTTTGATTGAACAAAGCAGTTACTGTGATCACCAAACACATTTGTGACCAATAGAAAAAAATCATAAATATCAAAGCAAGATAATGTTGATCTACTCTTCTGCTTTTACTTCCTTACAAATACCAACTTGAGTTTGCTTGTTCTATTAAAACCTGCGGGCTTTGAGGGGAAAGATGAGTAAAGCATTCCAGATTTGCTAATACAGCACATTTTGACAGGTTGCTGTGCATAACTTGATTGATCATCAGAATGAAAATAGAAATAATAGCAGAAATGAAGTCACGCCAACCTGAGGGAAATGAATGTTCTGTTAAACTTTTAATTATTTTTTGAATAAATTGAGCTGACTTTTGCTTTCTAGAGTTTCTTTTAGGACTATGATATGTTTTAGCTATTCAGTAAAATAAAGTTGAAAAGTATTTAGTATACTATTATCAAGGTTACATGATATTGAATATGAAGTGAGCACATTATTATTTGAGATATGTAAGTAATTCAATTACATTTCTTCCTTTGTTGCAAGAAAAGAGATCTTTATTTCCTTGTCCTCACGTTTATTTCTTGACTTTACTTATAAAGAGGAACCTTTAGACAAGTAATTTAACATCTGAGTCTCACTTTCTTTCTCTTATGTAAAAAGTGGAATAATATTGTCAACCTCACATAATTATTATAAAACTCTACTTAAATAACATATAAAAAAGCACATACACAATAGTTGACTTAATCTCAGTTTAGAGAAATTATTCTTAGTAAAAATGTTAAATTTTCAAACTAATAAACATTATTTTAAAATGTAGCTGTCTTGAGTAAGTGTTTGAATAAGTCTGAAATTAGTTTTATAAGTGAATTTTAAAAGAAACTGATACATTTAGAGAACTGATTATATCTTCCACCATGTATATGTTGCTGCAGGGAATTCATAAGAAATACACTTTAAAGATTTACATTGGTAAGATGCCTTCCATAAACAAATAACTATTATGCATATGAAGCAAATGTTAAAAATGGAAATGATACATATAAAGTAAAACAACAAATAATATAGAGTATAGAAACAGAAGACATTTAAATTATTGGAACAAACTTTCAAGTTGCTTATGTAACTCAGAATATAATCCATTTTGCTCTTTATAAAAACAACTATCATCATATTTACTTCCTGTTGGTTTAAAAAGTTCAGAGAAATTACAATATTGACTTAAAGATACTATGATCAATGAAAAAATAAAAGAATACTACCAAAACAGACATCCATGTTAACCTAATAATAAATATTAAAAAACACTAAATTACAATAGAAATATAAATGCTTTAAGTAAGAGAGGACAAACGAGTTCATCGATTTTTTTCTTTATTCATTCAACGAATATTCTTCCAACATTTTCCTCACGTGTTCCACCCTTTACGCAGATACCTTCCACAGTTTCTCTGCATACAGCTGACAGGTTACCATTTTTTTCTTGCCAGTGTATCTATAATTCAAATAGTTGTTATCAGGTGAAAAGTGATAGTCATTAAGGAAAAAAAACTTTTTTTGCCAAAAAGAAAAGCATTTTATCTGTCAGTAATTTTCCTTTGTTGCTTTTTTAAGCAACAAAGAAAAATTAACTTACAATTAACTTACTTAAAATTCAGTGAGGGCACAATTTCTTTTGCACATCACTTTTACAGTATTTCTCTCAACAAGAAAATACATTTCTTATCTTCTTTCTCAGTAATGGGTCACAGGAATTCTAATCCAAATTTCATACGGATTTTATTATATATAAAAAAATCCAATTTAGAAAAATCTAAACAAACATTTTTAAAATTTTTAATATCTTAAATTGTTCTTAGAGAAAACAAAATTTGTCTTTGGAAATATTAGGTGTATTAGGTAATATTAGAAACATTAGAGCATATTGTGAGGTAATATAAATGAAAGTAAAAGTAAAATTGTTCTTATTTCTTGAGTTGATTTCCAGTTTTCACTCTATTAACTCAATACAGAGGTGATATCTTTAGGGCTGCCCTCTTTTTGCTTCTTTCCCTGATTTCTCATTATAACCTATGGTAATCATCTATAGAATAAAATCATAATATTGTCATCAATGCCATTTTGAATGATAGCTTATCCTAATTAATAGCATGTATCTACTACTTCCTCAATACCAGTTAGACTTTTAGTTTCAATTGCGTATTTAAACCAGTGTTTGCATTATTTGTATCAATTCTCGTTATTCAAGAAATAGTTTTCTTCAATTCAATTCTTTCTACATAGTTTTCACATCTGTTGGGAAGCACATTTCTGAGAGTAGGGATTTGCTTTATTTAATTTTATAATTCACCTTGGAAATTAGCATTGTATCTGACAACTGGAAAGTAACCAATAATTATTTTTTTCAAAAAATAAATAGATAATGTTCACACTCTTTCTGAGTTCATTTGTCCTCTCTTGCCTAAAGCATTCATATTTCTATCGCAATTTAGTTTTTTTTAACATTTATTATTAGGTTAATATGGATGTCTGTTTTGGTGGTATTCGTTTATTTTTCATTGATCATAGTATCTTTAAATCAATATTGTAATTTCTCTGAACTTTTTAAGCCAACAGGAACTAAAAATGATGATAGTTGTTTTTATAAAGAGCAAAATGGGTTATATTCTGAGTTATAAAAATAACTTGAAACTTTGTTCCAATAATGTAAATGTCTTTCTTCTGTTTCTATACTCTATATTATTTGCTATTTTACTTTATGTGTGTCATTTCCATTTTTAACATTTGCTTCATATGCATAATAGCACTTTACTTATGGAAGTCTTCTTACCAATTTAAGTCTTTAAAGTACATTTCTTATGAATTCCCTGCAGCAACATATACATGATGGAAGATATAATCAGTTCTCTAAATGTATCACTTTCTTTTAAAATTCACTTATAAAACTAATTTCAGACTTACTCAAGTACTTACTGAAGACAATTACATTTTAAAATAATGTTTATTGTTTGAAATTTTAACATTTTTAGTAAGAAAAATTTTTCTAAGTGCTTGTATTCCATTTTATGACTATACTGTAATTTATTCCTTATTAATATTTGGATTGATATTATTTTGTTATTAATAAATTGCCATAAAGGGTCTTATAATGTTTCTATATAGATGCTTGTGAAAGGTTCTCCAGAGTGGAAATGACTAGGAATAGAATTTCTGGGTCATGTGAGATGGATTTCTTCTATTTTAATGTGGCAAAGTAAAAATCTAGAGATTTCCTTCACATTCAGCACACATTGCATTATTATATGCAATGATAGTGTAGAATTCATTATAATCATCTCAGGAGTAGTACCAAGTAGAGCTTAGATATTGGAGGACGTCTTAAAAATGCTACCAAAAAAAGAGAGAATGGCAATTTGATGTGGGTTCTGAACATCATATTTATCTAGTGCATTGGGCAACAGTTTCCTACAATGTCTTAAGAATTTTTTAGCCATGATTAGGTTTTTACTTTTTAGAAAAAGTGTAAATCCCAAAAGTGTATTCTTTTTTCTTTCATTTTTAATTGACATATAATAATTTTACATGTGTTATGAACACAGTGTGATATTTTGATATATGTACACAATGTTTAATGATCCAATCAGGGTAATTGGCATATCTATCATTTCAGATACGTGTCATTTCTTTATGTTGGGAACATAATACATTTTATTTGTAGTTATTGTAAATGGGATTACTTTCTTAATTTTTTCAGATTGTTCACTGTTATGTAATGGTTATTTTATCTGGTGGTGTGTTTTAATTTCTTGCTTTTTATTTTTTTGTGTTTCTCTTATGTGTCTTTTTGATTTTAGGTTACCATTAGGCTTGAAAGTTACATCTTATATCTCATTATTTAAAACAGATGACCAATTCCAATTGATTGATGAAACAAAGTAAACAAAAGAGCAAAGAGAAAACTAATAAAAGTCTACATTTTAACTTCATCCTTCTGCTTTTTAAGTTTTTTTTGGTTGTTTATTTTTGTATGTTATTATACTGTCTATGTCTTGGAAAGTTTTCATAGTATTATTTTTGATAGGCTCTTCTTTAGTCTTTCTACTCAACATATGAGTAGTTTATAGTCCACAATTATAGTATAATATTATATATTTGTCTGTGTATTTATTTTTATTAGTGAGTTCATACCCCCAGATGATTTCTCATTGCTCATTAACATCCTTTTCATTCAGATTAAAGAACTCCCTTTAGCATTTTTTGTAGGACAGGTCTGATGTTGAAGAAATCTCTCAGCTTTGGTTTGACTGGAAAAGTCTTTATTTCTCCTTCTTGTTTGAAGGATATTTTCACTGGATGTACTATTGAATAATAAAAGGTTTTTTTTTCTGGCATTTCAAATATGTCATGCCACTCTCTCCTGGCCCATAAGGTTTCCTTTGGGAAGGCTGCTGCCGGATGTGTTGGAGCTCTTTTGTACCTCTTTTGCTGCTTTAATGATTCTTTCTCTTTGACCTTTGGGAGTTTTATTATTACATGTCTTGAGGTAGTTATTTGGGTTAAATCTGCTAGGTGTGCTCTAAACTTCTTGTACTTAAATATCAATATCTTCTCTAGGTTTTGAAATTATTCTGTTTATATCCCTTTAAAGAACTTTGTGTGCTAATCTCTCTACATCCTCTATAAGGTCAATAACTCTTAGATTTTGCCTTTTGAGGCTATTTGCTATGTCGTGTAGTTTTGCTTTATTATTTCTTATTATTTTTTCTTTTGTCTCCTCTGACTGTGTGTTTTCCAATAGGCTGTGATATGATTTGGCTGTGGGACCACCCAAATCTCATCTTGAGTCCCACAATTCCCACATTTTCATGGGAGGAACCCAGTGGGAGGTGAATGAATTACAGGGGTGGCTCTAACCTGCACTGTTCTCATAACAGTGAATTAGTCTCACAAGATCTGACGGTTTTAAAAACAGGAATTTTCCTGCACAAGCTCTCTTTTTGCTTGCTGCCATCAATGTAAGATGTGACTTGCTCCTCCTTGCCATACACCATGATTGTGAGGCCTCCTCAGCCATGTGGAACTGTAAGTCCAATAAACCTCTTTCTTTTGTAAGTTGCCCAGTCTCATGTAGGTCTTTATTGGCTGCATGAAAATTGACTAATATAGCCTGTTTCTAAGCTCACCATTTTTTTTTAATCAATTCTGCTGTTTAGAGACTCTAATGCATTCTTCATTATGCCAATTGAATTTTTCAGCTTCAGAAATTCTCCTGGATTTTTAAAATTATCTAATCTCTTTGTTAAATTTACCTGATAAGATTCTAAATTCGTTATCTGGGTTGTCTTGAATTTTGTTAAGATTTATCTAAACAGTTTGAATTGCCTGTTCCAAATGGGAGAAATTGGCCAAACTTAAGAGGCTACAGGACCCATGCAAGTCCAAAATCCAGTGAGGTAGAGAAATCCCAAAGCTTTGAAATGATCTTCTGCTCCATGTCTCACATCCAGGTCATGCTGATGCAGGAGGTTGGCTCCCATGGTATTGGGCAGATCTGCCCCTGTGGCTTTGCAGGGTACAGCCCCTCTCTCAGCTGCTTTCTTGAGCTGCTGTTGAGTGTTTCTAGCTTTTCAGGTGCACGGTGCAATCTATCTGTGGATATACCATTCTGTGGTCTGGAGGATGGTGGCCTTCTTCTCACAGCTCTACTAGGCAGTGCCCCAGTGGGGACACTGTAGGGGCTCCCACTCCACATTTTCTTTCTGCACTGCCCTAGTAGAGGTTCTCCATGTGGGCTCCACCCCTGCAGCAAACAGCTTCCTGGACATCCAGGTGTTTCCATACATCCTCTGAAATCTAGGTTGAGGATCCCAAACTTCAATTCTCAACTTCTGTGCACCTGAAGGCTCAACATCATGTAGAAGCTGCCAAGGCTTGGGGCTTGCACCTTCTAAAACCATGGGCCCGAGCTGTACCTTGGCCCCTTTAAGCCATGGCTGGAGCAGCTGAGTCTCAGGGCATCATGTCCCAAGGCTGCACAGAGCAGTGGGGCCCTGGACTCAGCCCAGGAAACCATTTTTTCCTCCTACCTTGGGCCTCTGATAGAAGGGGCTTTCTTGAAGGTCTCTGACATGGCCTGGAGTCATTTTCCCCATTGTCTTTGTAATTAGCATTTGGCTCCTCATTACTTACACAAATTTCTGCTGCCAAATTTAAATTCTCCTCAGAAAATGGGTTTTTCTTTTCCACTGTATTGACAGGCTGCTAATTTTCTGAACTTTTATGCTCTGTTTCCCTTTTAAACGTAAGTTCCAATTCCAAACCATATCTTTGTGAATCAATAAAACTGAATGCTTTTAAGAGCACACAAGGGATCTCTTGAATGCTTTGCTTCTAAGAAATTTCTTCTGCCAGATACCCAAAGTCATCTCTCCCAAGTTCAAATTTCCACAGATCTCTAGGGCAGGGGAAAAATGCCCCCAGTCTCTTTGATAAAGCATAGCAACAATTGCCAGCAGTATCATCCCTGTCAGATGGATAGTTTGCAAATATTTTTCCCGCTCTGTGGGTTGTCTCTTAACTTTGTTGATTGTTTCCCTTGGTATGCAGAAGATTTTTAGCTTGATGCAATCCCATTTGTCTATTTTTTATTTGGTTACCTACACTTTTAAAGTCTTGCACAGAATATCCTGGAGTGTTTCCTCAATGTTTTCTTCCATTAGTTTCATAGTTTCAGGGCTTAGATCTTTAAGTATTTAATTCATTTTGGTTCGATTTTTTTGTGTATCATGAGAAATGGGGTCTAATTTTATTCTTCTGTACATAGTTATCTAGTTTTCCCAGAATATTTATCGAAAAGACTGTCCTTGCCTCAATGTATGTTCTTGGCAGCTTTGCTGAAGATGAGTTGGCTATAAATATGTATATTTATATCTGGGTTCTTTATTCTGTTCTATTGGTCTATGTGTCTGTTTTTATGCCAGTACCATGCTGTTTTGGTTACTATTGCTTTGTAGTAAATGTTAAAGTCAGATAGTGTGGTGCCTCCAACTTTGTTCCTTTTTCTCGGGATTGGTTTGGCTATTCAGGATCGTTTGTGGTTCCCTGTAAATTTTAGAATGTTTTTTCATTTTTGTGAACAATATCTTGGTATTTTGATAGGGATTACATTGATTCTGTAAATTGTTTTCATTATTATGGATGTTTCAACAATATTAATTTTTCCGATCCATGAATATGGAATATCTTTCATCTTTTTAATGTCATCTTCAATTTACAATTTATTTCATCAATGTTTTATGGTTTTCCATGTACAGATCTTTCACTTCCTGGGTTCGGTTCATTTTTAGACACTATATTTTTGTAGGTATTGTAAATGAAACTGCTTTTTTGATTTTTTTCAAATTATTTGTTGTTAATGTACCTAAATGCTACTGATTTTTTGTATCCTGCAACTTTATTGAATTTAGAAGTTCTAACAGTTTTTTGGTGGAGTCTTTAGGTTTTTCTAGGTATAAGATCATGTTGCCTGTGAACAAGGCTAATTTGACTTATTGCTTTCCAGTTTGGATACCCTGTATTTCTTTCTCTAGTCTAATTGGCTTGGTCAGGAGTTCCAAGTTTATATTGAATAAACGTGGGCATCCTTGTCTTTCTCAAGTCCTCAGAGAAAAAGCCTTCAATTTTCTGCGTTCAGTACAATGTTAGTTATGGGTTGTCATGTGGTCTTTATTATTTTAAGGTACGTTTCTCCTATACTCATTTTGATAAGGGCCTTTATTACAAAGGGATATTGACTTTTATCAAAAGGATTTTTTGGCATCTATTGAAATAATCATATGGTTTTTGTTATTGATTCTGTTAGTGTGATATCATGTTTATTTATTTGGATATGTTGAACCATCCTTGCATCCCTGGGATGAATCTCACTTGATTATGGCAGATGATCTTTTTAATGTATTGTTGAATTCAGTCTGCAATATTTTTGTTGTTGTTGTGGGGATTTTATCAGTGAGACTGGCCTATAGTTTTTTTGTTTTGTTTGGTTTGTTGTGTCCTATTTTGCTTTTGGTATTGAGGTAATGCTGGCCTTATTGAATGAGTTTGGAAGTATTCTCGCCTCTTCAATTTTTTGGAAGAATTTTGAGTAGGATTGATATTAGTTCTTTTTTTAATGCTTGGTGGAATTCAGCTTTGAAGACATCAGGTCCCAGGCTCTTCTTTGATGGGATACTTTTTATTAGGGCTTTGATCTTGTTACTGATTATTGGTTTATTTAGGTTTTCTATTTCTTCATGGTTCAATCTTTGTGGGCTGCTTGTATACAGGCATTTATTAATTTCCTCTAGGTTTTTCAAGTTTATTGGCATGTAGTCATCCATAGTAGTCTCTAATGATCCTTTGTATTTTTGTGGTATCCATTGTGATATGCCCTTTTTCATCACTGAGTTTATATATTTGGGTCTTCTCTCTTTTTAGTCTAGCTAAATTTTATCAATTTTGCTTATCTTTTTGAAGAAATAAATTCATTTCATTGATCTTCTGTATTTTTTAGTCTCAATTTCATATATTTCTTCTCTGATCTGTATTGTTTCTTTTCTTCTACTAATTTGGGGTTTGGTCTGTTCTTGTTTTTCTAGTTCCTTGAGGTGCAAAATTAAAATGTGGAGACACATGGGCTATTGAGCCTTAGGGCAAGATGTAGTTTGGTTGTGGCTCTATTCTCAAAATGACTCTGTACTGCATCAGGGTCTGGGGGGGCTTGAGGGTGACTCAGAGTGAATTTCCTGTCTATGAAAATGCACTCCATTGATGCAAGGAAGTTCCTATGTGAGTCTTAGAACCAATGAGGCCTGAAGGGCTCTCCTGTAGTCAGGATTGCAAGTATCAGTGGTAAGAATGTAGAGTCCTGGGGATCGCCCACTTACTTTTACCAACAAGAGGGAGTCTCCCTTGGGTTTCATTGGATCTTAACCAGCTACTTCACTTCCATCTCTATCTTGCCATCTTGTGTTTCTCTGCCTCAGAGGGTCTTTGTCATTTTCTTGCTGTATTCCGGTGTTCTCTCTTAGATGCTCTATTCAATGTTAGGCTACATCTTTATTGTTTTCATCCTCCTTCGTGAAGGAGGAAAGTATTAGATGTCTGTAATCAACTATTTTAATCCATGATTAAGTTTTGAAGGCAATTCTGTGATTCGGGATAACATCTATGGTTCTGGAAATTTGGGTACATGTAATAACTCTTTGCCATTCTATAAAATTATTCTATGATAGGATCAGAAAGAATGATGTCTGATTCCTAGAATTAAGCTATAGCTAAGATATCATTTTCTATTTTTCTTATACACAATGTTTTAGCTAGATTAATGTGTTTAAACAGTAGTCATTTTAGCGAGAAACATCATTTATTTTTCTGACATGTAAATGTCAGTATACTCTTTTATTATCTCACATTACTAACATAAAGAAAGTGAAATCTATTCCATAAATATGCAGAAAAAAGAAGAGCTATTAAGTTTAGTATTGACTTATTGAATATTTTCCAGTGGAACAACTTTCCTTTCATTTTGGGAAAAGATTATAGACACACAGAGTTCTTCATTTCCTTCAAGTAGGTGTTTTTAACAAACTATTAATTTCTCACCAAATAGACACATTGTCAGATATTTCAGACACATACACACACACATACAGAGGCAATGTCTATTTTGCTTAACAATATATTAATAGTATGGCTACGTGGCTATAAAATGTTTTATTCCATTTTTGAAGGATATTTCTTCTTTTTTCTCATGAAGATACAGTGATTTCTTAGGTATTAAATATCTACTATATTTCAGCTATGTGCTCTGTAAAGACTAAAACATCTTGGATCAATTGTTTAGTTTTGTAGAATTTCACAGTTCTAATAAAGCTAAAAGTTTTATTTGAATAGATTTATTAGAAACTGTCAATAAAAATCATTGAATTCTGTTTTATAAAATTCACTAAGATATTCCTCAAATTAATACATAAATTATGTAAATACATCTATCAAATAAAAATGATTTGAAAGAGGATAACTTTATAGAAAGAGAAAATAGGTATGAATTTATTAAGCAATTATGACTATTGGCATTTGGCATATATAAAATTAAAGATAATCATTCAAATTTTAATAATATCTAGGAGGTGAATATTTTATATATAAAATTCATTTTTATTATTATTATATAGTACTAAAGAATTATTACTCCTGGGGTGCCCACTAATTAATACAAACAAAAGCAAGATGCAAAAGTAAAAGTATTCTCTGTCTACTTGAATAAAAAATGTCACAGGGTTGCATCAAACTAATTTAGAAGCATTAACATTTATAAAATGTGAAGACTTTCTTGCAAGAAAAAACAGCTTACTTGGAGAACTTAGCAGGAAGATTTTTGACATTCCATCATATAAAATCATTTAAACAAGTAGGCAGCAATACAGAAATAATTATTATATTTACTCATGTTTGTGATTTCCCTTTTTCATATCTGAGACCACTAGAACCACCTATTTTTTTCAAGTGTAAGTGTTTTATTTTATTTTATTTTTTATTTTACTTTAAGTTCTGGGATATATTTGCTGAATGTGCAGGTTTATTACATAGGTATACCTGTGCCATGGTGGTTTGCTGTACCTATCAACCTGTCATCTAGATTTTAAGCCCCGCATGCGTGAGGTCCTCCCTTTCCCCCCACCCACTGACAGGCCCTGGCCTGCAATGTTGCCCTACCTGTGTCTATGTGCTCTCACTGTAGAACAACCTATTTATTTTCACTTGAGACACCAAAAAGAGTCTGCAAAAGTCTCAAGTATATTCTAGAGACTTATTTCCAAATAGTATTCTTTGAGTTCTATATTTTAGAGAGAGAGTATAAATAAGGGTCACCTCTGGAACTTAGATTTTTTTTGATGATTCATGTGAATTATTAGATGCAGCAGTAAGTCAACAGGTCATGATATTTGTCCAGTGCATTCTTTTGTATCTTGGCCACATTAAAGAGACAATGTACTGAAGGCCTTCCTAACTCTACCCTTGTGGTCGCCAAAGAAGATACCTTGTTACATCTGGGAAAGATTGGAAGTCTTGGTTCCCCACTCAGCCTCTGCTGATGGGGACAGAGGTGGGGCCATGGTGTTTTTGGTTTTTATTCATGCTGTTTGACTAGAGTAGAGTGATTGTTGTCTAAACATCTTTCTAGCTTTGCTACCCTTTTCCGGGTCCTTTGGCTGTATAGAAGAGGCTTTTGTTAGGGCTTTTTTGTTGTCCTTGTTGGTGTTTCCAAATTGCCAGGTTTCCTAGTGTCCATTTTGTGATATATGAAGCCAAAGGAAAATCCAGATAACTCACTGACATTTCTTTCCTTGGGCCCTGGTGTCTCTAGCTGGTCTGCCCTTCTTCTCTTTGTCTTTTAGAGCCTCCTTATGTGTATAACATGTGAGACACACAGGGTTTTGTTCACTGTAAGGATTGAAATACGAAGAAGTGCATCCACTCCATCATTCTTCAGGATTAAAAGTCCATGATCAAAATATTTTGAGAAGTTGCTTTAGCTCCTTAAGCTTCTATGCTCTTATACGTCTTGCAAAGAGATGGGGTTTGGTAGATATTAGGCTATCTTGAATGTTTGTATCATAAAGAAAAGAGCTTACAATTTTGGCTTATAAATATTCAAGTTTGAATCTTGACTTTGCTGTATACCAGCTGTACAAAACCAGGCAAATAATTTAATCTCCACATGCTTCTCTACATATAATATAAAGTAATGCCTACCTGCAGGGTTATTGTGAGGCTTATATGTGAAGCTGTGGGCACACAATGGGCACTCAAAATAAGTTATTTCCTCTCCTTCCACTGGAGCTCTTTTAAACTATGTATCCTTTATTATCAACATGTAATGTGCAGAAGACTTTATATAAAAGCTTTTTGAGAAAAGAAAATAATTGCTGGTATAAGTTTTGCTACAATTTAACTACTGAACATATTTCAGTATGGAAGTCTTCTAGGTTTTCCTTCTTATGTCACTTTTAAAGTCCTGCACCATTTAGAGTATACTTGGGCTTTCAAATAAAAATGTGTAAGTTCAAAAATAATTATAGTACATAGTTTATTAAACGTTTTAACCCTCATGGAGACTTTAATTTTCTATGTAAAGATAGACCTAGAAATGCCAACATTTATTTAAGCAAGACATAAATATTATTGCACATATATTTTTAAAAAATTTGATTCAAAATCTAAGAAACTAAATATTATCCAATATTATAAATCCAAATATTCTAGCCCTAGTTAAGGTGATCTCCAAGATGTGATTCCTGCAGGATTCCTTTGTTGTTTGTCTTCTAAGAATATTTTGTATTTACTAAACAGATAATTAATCATTTTACTAGTTTCAGTAACTATAATTGCAAACCATTGCTTCTGATTGAGAAAATCAGTTGTTGATTTTAATTAAAATAATTCTAGTCATATAGGTGGAAATGTAATAATTTAGATAACATGTATAGCTTTAATTCAAATAAATGCTAATTTTTAAAATGTTTTAAAAATTAAAAATTCTTTTTGTTGAACCATTATTAATTTTGTAACAGTAAGAAAACAGATTTGCTGAATCTTATATTTAACAAATCTTTTGCAGAAAGAAAAAAAATAACCTAAATGTCTTTGATTCCACAGTTAGGCCAATGGCTATTCATTGAAAATTACTTTATGGTAAAAATTAATTTATAGTTCATTCAACTTAATAACAAAATGGATTAGTTTTTGAATATTATCTCCAGTCCCTGCCATTTAAATAATTTACTAAGTGGCAGTGATAGACTAGGAGGGAAAACTGAAACAATATTTAAGACTCAATATAATGAGAGAGGAATCCTTGGGTCCTTTTCATCTTACTCTGTGCTTCTCCAGTAGTTCATTGTGTGTATCGTTTGTGATAAATCGTGGCTTCCTTGCACTAAATCATCATCATTGTCATCTGAAGGCAGTCGGAACTTACCAAAGTATAAATTACTACTCAAGAGAAAGCCACACTGGATAATGCATTCATATATTTTTTGAGCTTCTGAAATATCTTCTGATAAAATAATTAACCAGATAGTACAGGGTTTGAATATTTATTAGGTCCAGGGTGAGTAGGTATCAATCTTCTATTACTCATTTTTTAAATAAAGATAAAAAGTTGCTTGGCCAAACTTTATACATTTAAAGGGAATAGAACACTATATTTTTAGGAATTTATTGAGGAAAGCATTTAACTCATCTTTGTTGTCAATATGTACTGTGAATAACAGGTATAAAAATGGACTTCAGGGGATTCAAAAACACAAACAAAAAAATACACAAACAAAAAAATACACAAACCTTTCACCTTCAACCAATAAAATTTAATCTAGTGATTTATTAGAAAAAAAAATATACTTATTCTTTTGAATTTAACACTAGCATCTTTTCTTTGACTAGCCTTTCTGAATTCAGTGCAAAGATTACATGCTCACAGTACTTACCACATATTTTTATGATATATACACAAATTTTCTTACTACTCTAAAAACCTTGGGGAGAGAGACAAATCTTTGTTAGAGGAGTTCTATCTTCAAACACAATGAAGTGAATATCTAAATTTCAATAAATACTTGAGGAATTAATGTAAGAAGCATTGGTAAGGAATATTGTCATTCTGATTCAGTTAAAACCTGTTTGTGAATAAAATACTAAGGTTTATGCTTAAAAATTTTTATTTTGAAATTATTTGTATATCTAGCCTACCTTGTTAGTTTAATTTTAATGTTAAAGTATGACGAAAAATGTGCGTGCCTGGGACTTTTATTGAATGTATATTTTGCTTTATTTTATCAGATAATATCTCTAAATAAATAAATCTTACCATGTTGCTTTAAAATATACTCTACCTTCCCATCAGTATTCATGCCATCCTCCTGAATATACATATACAAACTCATAAAGTTAAAAGAGGCAGTAATCAAGACATAAAAATAGACATATATTGATAAAATAGAAAAAATAGTCTGGTAACAGAACCACACATTTATTTTACAAAGGCCCGAATGTAATTCAGTTGTAGAAGTCTAGTCTTCCAACAAACAGTACTTAAAAATTAGGTGTTAATATATAAAAACCAACTTGATGGCCAGGCGCAGTGGCTCACGCCTGCAATCCCAGCACTCTGGGAGGCAGAGGCGGGCAGATCACGAGGTCAGGAGACCGAGACCATCCTGGCTAACATGGTGAAACCCTGTCTCTACTAAAAAAAAATACTACAGGGGCGCGGTGGCGGGCGCCGGTAGTCCCAGCTACTCGGGAGGCTGAGGCAGGAGAATGGTGTGAACCCAGGAGGCGGAGCTTGCAGTGAGCAGAGCTCATGCCACTGCACTCCAGCCTGGGTGACAGAGGGAGACCGCGTCTCAAAAAAAAAAAAACAAAAAAAAAACATAAAGCTGATATGAACCATCCTCCCAAATGGAAGAGCTATAACTAGAAAACTTTAGAAGTTAAAAAAAAAAAAGATGATTTGTGTGTGTGTGTGTGTGTGATTTTGCACTAGGCAGATGTTACTTAGGACAAAACCAAGCATAAGCCACACACACACACACACATATATATATATATTCACACATATACATATATATATATTCACACATATACATATATATATATTCACACATATACATATATATATATATATATATATAAATCTCCATCTCATTAAAAACTTTTCTTCTTTGAAAGTTGCTGTTAGGTAAAGGGAAAAGAGAAGTCACCAACTGGAAAAACTGTTTGCAAAACACTTATCAAATGCCAGATTTGCATCCAAAATATGTAAACATCTTTTATAACACAAAAATAGAAGCACAGAAAAACAATAATAAAATGTGCAAAGTGTTTCCGCAGACATCTTTAGCAGGAAGAAAATGCAAATGGCTGAAAAGCATTTGAGAATACGCTGAGCAAATGCAAATGAAAGTCATAACTGAAATATCATGAAACAACTGCAATGGCTAAAATTTTTAAAGATTGACAATGCTTAATGATGCTCAGAATTTGGAGCAACTAGATATTCCATGCATTGGTGCTGGCAATGCAAAATTGTATACTCATGTTGGAAAACTCTTAGCAGTTTCTTATGGAGGTAAAACACTTATGACCCTTCTATTTTGGCCCAAGATATTTCACCTGAAAGAAATGAAAACGTGCACATAAAGACCTGCATGCAACTGTTCATATAAGCTATATTCTTAACAGTAAAAAAAAAAATGGAAAAACTTATACAACCCAAATATCCATCAACTGCTAAGTAGATAAACAAGTTGTGGTATGTCCATTTAATAAGATATTATTCAGCTATAAAAAAGAATGAATTGTTGATACATAAAATAACATGGATGAAACTCAAAAGCATGTGTTAAGTGGTAGAAGACTACAAGATTCCATTTACATGCATTCTGGAAAAGACAAAACTTTATAGGGAGAAAAAACGTGACAGTGTTTGTTTGCCAAGGTCTTAGGATGGGTCAAAAGGATGGTCTACAGAGACAAAAGGCAATTTTGGCAGAGAGGAAATAATGGATGTGTTGTGTATTTTAATTGTGATCATATTTATACAACTGTATACAGTTATCAAAACACTTCAAACTATAGATTTGATATGTCAGTTTAATTGTATCTTTATAAAAATCACATACTTAACCATCTTAAAGATGTTTGCCCAACTATATTAAAGTGAAACCTATCTCCCATATCTGATCCTCCTTACTTTGCTCTACTATTTTTTCCAAAGCATTTATAACTTCATAATTATGTATGTATGTATAAATGTATTTATTTTTTGAGATGGAGTCTCACTATGTTGCCCAGGCTGGAGTGCAATGGTGTGATCTCAGTTCACGGCAACCTCCACCTCCTGGGTTCAAGTGATTCTTCTGTCTCAGCCTCCCGAGTAGCTGGGATTACAGGCACATGCCACCACACCCAGCTAATTTTTTGTATTTTTAGTAGAGATGGAGTTTCACCATGTTGGCTAGGCTGGTCTCAATTTCCTGACCTTAAGTGATCCACCCCTCTCGGCCTCCCAAAATGCTGGGATTACAGGTGCTAGCCACTATGCCTGGCCATAATTATGTACTTATTTATTTAATGGTCTATTGTCTATGTCTCTTGCTAGAATAGAGCTTTTGTGGAGAGTGTATTTAGTGATGTATCATGTAAATTCTCTAATCAAGATTGGGTCGCTCACTACCCACAGCTTCTATAAGTGTTGAAGATTGAACAACCAAGATGAGTCTTTGTCTAGGAATTTATCTAGCTTCACAAGAACCAAGTAACTCAATCTCACATCCCCTTCCTGAAGGAAGCACATACTTGTTGACTTTTCTCAGATAAGTAAAATATGGCCACAGACCAACTTTGTTTTTATAGGGTGCAAAATATAAAAATAAATTTTATATTTTAAAGTGTTTTCATATAGGAGGAAAGAAAAAGAAGAGGGAGAGAATATGTGACAGAATGAATGTGACCCAAAAAGCCTAAAATATTCACTACTTAGTCATTATAGAACAAAGCCTAAAATATTTACTACTTGGCTTTTACAGAAAAAAAGTTTGACAACAGCTAGACTGGCGACACAGATATAAAATATAGTCTACTATTCCTAGGGGTGTTACTCTAAAGGGACATTCATGAGATTGGCTGAGGCCTCTTTTCTCTTACTCTGTGTACGTTTTTTCCTTAACTGCTCCAGAGTTGTTGATATCATTGACATCCCTAGGTAAAGGCTCTGCATGAAAAACGCTTTCAAAATCTATATCCCAGGAAATCTGACCTAAGACAACTAGTGCTAGATTGGTCCAAGAGAGTGTATTCTAAAGTGAGACATGAGATATGGACCAACCGCTGGTCAACTAGTAATGAAGACCCTTAATTTTGTAGTGGATAGAACACTAAGTGCCCCGGTATATTGTAGCAGTGCAATTGTTAAAATTTTACTGATAGCCAGTTAGGATAGATTATCAGTAAAATTTCAGTAAGGTGAGGGTCTGGGAAAATGTGTTAATTATAACAACAATGGAATTCGACAGGCTTTGCTAAGTATCATTGTCCCACTAGTATAGTGAATCAAAGACTGAGGATGCAGTCACCAAGTAAATGGAAAATGTGAATGGTAGATGTCCTCCTCAGCAGGATTTTTAAAAGTTCTTTATCTCTTGCATGCAGAAAAAACTAAAGTCCAGGCTTAGGAGTTAATAATAAAAGTAATAGAGGTGCGTACAGAAATTTAAATGATCAATTCCTCAAGTCTCCTATGCCAAGGTCAAGGCTTTAGTTGAGGCCTTAATGATACACAGAGAACTTCCAAATCAAAGCAGACAAAAATTTAAAAAAAAAGACACGTTGCTTTTAAAACTTTTAAATCCCCTAAACTCTCTGGAGATATAGTTCAGTCCTTAGTAAAGGCTAGTGTACCTCTTGCTTGAAGAAAATATACAACATGAACCTGCCTCAAAATCTGTATTCACCTTCCCATGTTGTCACTAGATCAACAAGTAGGTCAAGTCATGCACCTTCAAGAATTTACAGGTGCAGGAAGTGGTGAACCTGCCAAGAAAGGAAAGGAACTATACCCCAAAGAACTATAAGGCCTAGCCAACATTCGTTGTCAAAGCTAGCAGAGTATGGATAGCAGTAGATAGATTCAAAGGTTGCAGGATTGCTGAGGCAGAACATGTTTGATAAAGGAATATTTATCATAGGGAATTCTCTCCTAGGATAAGCTTATCTCCCTGGCAATGATTGTCAGAGAGGGCACTAACATTTCGCCAAGATGGCTTTTGGAAATTTAAGAAGGTGATGGCCCACATTAAATAAAGTAGGAATGTCAGAACTACTTACTGGTTGTGCTAAGGTAGATATAACACGTGTGTTAGTCAGGGTTCCCCAGAGGAACAGAAACAATAGGTTATATATATAGGAAGAGATTTACAATAAAAAATTGGTTCCCATGATTATGGAGGCTGAGAAGTTCCAAGACTGGCAAGCTACAGACACCTGGGAGAGCTGATGGTGTAGTTTTAGTCTGAGTCCAAAGGCCTGAGAATCAAGAAAGCTGATGGTAAAAATTCTGGTCTAAGTTTCAAGGCAGGAGAAGATTGATGACCTGGCTGGAAGACATTTAAGACATAAATGGATTAAGAATAAATGGATTCTCCTTTATTCAGCCTTTTTGTTCTGTTTAGCCTTCAGTGGATTAGATGAAGCTCACCCACATAGAGAGGGCAATTTGCTTTACTCAGTCCACCAATTCAAATGTTTATCTTCTCCAGAAACAGCCTCAGAGACACACCCAGAATAACAGCCAAATATCTTGGAACCCTCTGACTTAGTCAAGTTGACATAAAAATAGCCATCCTAGCAAGTAATCTCTCTCATCAGTCAGTTATATTACGTTTAGTTCTTTAAAAATATCAACAAAATTGACAAATCTTGAGCAAGATGGACTAAGAAAAAAAGAGAGAAGCCTCAGATTACTAAAATCAGAAATGAAGCTGGGGGCACTGCTACAAATTATACAAAAATAAAAAATATTATTAGAGAGTACCATGAGCAATGGTATATGAAGAAATTGGATAACCTCTATGAAATGAACAAACTCCTAGAAAAACACAACCTACCATGACTAAAAGAAATGAAAAATCTGAAAAGACCTATAAGTAGTAAGATTAAATCAGTAAAGAAAAAAAACTCCTGAAAAATAATAAAATATAATAAAAGCCCTGGACCTAATGGCTTCAATTATGAATCTACCACATATTTGAAGGACAACTAACCCCAGTTCTTTTCATGCTTTTCCAAGAAAATTAGAAAAAAAAAAGAGGAGGGAGTACTTTCTGACTCATCCTATGGAGCCAGCATTACCCTGACACCAAAGCCAGACAATGATACTACAAGAAAAGAAAACTATAAGCTAATATCTCTTATAAACATTAATGCAAAAATCCTCTACAAAATACTAGCAAATGGAATTCAAAGCATATTGAAAGATTTATACACCATTACCAAGTGGGATTTATTCTTGGACTGTAAATACGGCTCAACATATGAAAATCAATTGACGTAACAGACCACATTAACAGAATGAAGCACAAAAAAATATACATAATTATATCATGATACAAAGAAATAATTTGACAAAATTTAACTCTCTTTTATCAAAAAAATCAACAAACCAAGAACAGAAGTAAACTACTTCAACATAACAGATTTCATACATGAAAATCTCACTGTTGGTGAAAATGTAGAGAAGTTGAAACCCTTCAACCCTTCAAATGTGGAAGTAACCCAAGTGCCCAAGAGAACATCACACTTTTTGGGGAAAGACTGAATGTTTTGTTCCTTTAAGATCAGGAACAAAGCAAGGATGGCTGCTTTCACCACTTCTATTCAACATAGTGCTGGAAGTCTAGCCAGAGCTACTGGGCAAGAAAAGGAAATAATAGGCATTCAAATGGAAAAGGAAGAAATAAAATCATTTCTGTTTGCAGATAATATGATCTTATGTGTTACAGTCCTAAAGATTCCAGAATAATATTGGTTAGAACTAAAAAAAAATTGGCAAATTAGCAGGATAAAAAGTCACCACAAAAAAAACTATTGCCTTTCTATACACTAACAATGAGTAAGCTGAAAGGAAAATTATAAAAAAAGCTCTCTTTATAATAGCATCAAAAAGAATAAAGTACTTAGGAATTAACCAAGAAGTTATAAGACTTGTACAGTGAAAACTATTAAACATTGCTAAGAGATATTAAAGAAGATGTAAATAAATGAAAACACATTTGATTTTCATTGATTGGATGACTTTATATTATTAAGATGTAAATGCTACCTGAAGCAATCTATAAATTTAATGCAATATTTATCAAAGTCCCAATGACATTTTTGTGTAGAAATAGAAAAAGACCTCCTGAAACTTACATGGAATCTTAAGGAACCCTTAATATACAAAACAATACTGAAAAACAAGAGCAGAATTGGATGACTAACAACTTCTGATTTCAAAACTTATTACAAAGCTACAATAATCAAAACAGTATTGTACTGCCATAAAGAGGAACATATAGACCAACAAAAGAGGAAAGTGAGTCCTGAAAGAAATCTTTGCATAAATGGTCAAATGCTTTTCATCAAGGACTCCGAGACCATGCAATGGGGGAAAGGATAGTCTTTTCAATAAAGGTGCAGGGGAAATTGTATATCTATATTCAAAAGAATAAAATTGGATCTTTATCTAACACCGTATACAAAAATTAACTCAAAAATGGATTAAAAACCTAAACATGAGGCAAAAAACTAGAAAACTCAGAAGAAAATAAAGGGCAAAAACTTCATGACATTGGATTTGAAAATGCTTTCTTAGCTATGATAGCAAAGGTACAGATAACAAAAGAAAAAATACACAAACTGGACTTCATGAGAATTTAAAACTTCTGTGCATCGAGGGATGCACAGAATAGGAGAAAATATTTTAAAATCATACATCTGATAAGGGTTAATATCCAGAATATGAAGAGAACTCTAAAACTTAGCAATAGGAAACAATCATTCAAAAATGGGCAAAAGATATGAATAGACATTTCTCTAGAGAAGATGTCAAATGACAAATAAGCACATGGAAAGATGCTCAGCATGCCATTAGGAAAAAGCAAGTCAAAAACACAATGAAATACTACCTGAAACCTATTAGGCTGACTACTATAAAACAAACAATCATAAGACAAAAAACAAAACAAACAAACAAAAAACAGAAACTAAGTGTTGGTGAGGATGTAGAGAAATTGAAACGCTTTGCATTCTTGGTGGAGATATAAAATGATGTAGAAAACAGTATGGCCATTTATCAAAAACTTACAAATAGAATTATTACATGATCTGGCAATTACACTCCTGGGTAAATACCCAGAAGAACTGAAAGCAGGGTTACAAAGAGATATTTGTACATGCACATTCATAGCAACATTAGTCACAATAGCTAAAATGTAAAAGAAACCCAAATGTTCATCAACGGATGAAGGAATGAGCAAAATGTGGCATACATGCGCAATGGAATATTATTCATCTTTAAAAAGGAAGGCAATTCTGGCCAGGCGTAGTGGCTCATGCCTGTAATCCCAACACTTTGGGAGGCCGAGGCAGGAGGATCACCTGAGGTCAGGAGTTCAAGACCAGCCTGGCCAACATAGTGAAACCCTGTCTCTACTAAAATACAAAAGTTAGCTGGGCATGGTGATAGATGCCTGTAATTCCAGCTACTCGGGTGCCTGAGACAGGAGAATTGCTTGAACCTGGGAGGCGGAGGTAGCAGTGAGGTGAGATCGTGCCACTGCACTCCAAACTGTGTGATAGAGCAAGAGTCCATCTCAAAAAAAAAAAAAAAAAAAAAAGGAAGGCAATTCTGACATTTGTTGTGAAAAGAATAAATCCTGAGGACTTTATGCTAAGTGAAATATAAGGCAAACCCCAAAAGACAAATATTGTATGATTCCACTTTTATCAAGTATGTAGAATAATCAGAATCATAGAAATAGAAAGTAAAATGGTGGTTGCCCCAGGCTGGAAAAAGACAGAAAGGGGAGGTATTGTTTATGGGTATACAGTCTCAGTTCTACAAAATAAAGAGTTCTAGAAATAAATGGTTGTGATGGTTGCCCAAAATATGACTGTATTATATCACTGAACTGTAATTAAAATGGTTGAGATGACACGTTTTATTTTATGTATACCTTGCCATAAAATTTGGAAAAAAATGTTGTTTGGAATGATTATCAAGATAATAAAGAGAATATAAAAGAATTCATGAGATCTTAAATGTCCACATATATTAAATCTTTACAAAGAAACCTCCAGTAGCATGGTGTCTGATAATGGCCTTAAGGGAGAATTGCTTATTAGTGACTTAAAGGAAATCATGTCATCTATTGAATTACTAGCATTATATCCTCTTGCACCTGGATTTTCCTTGGAGGTCACCCTCCCAAACATTAACCAGATTTGACCCCACTGAGCTTGAGAGCTCTGATGAGCTCATAGCCCAAGGTGGTGTAGTTTTAAAGACTGCATTGCAATAAGAATATATCTGTCATAGATGAAAATGCAGGAGCATATTTATGTCTTCATGTAATACATTCATTGCTTTTTATGAACCTGAAGTTCTCCAGGGAGTGAAACAAATTCATGTAACGTTTCTGTGTGTTACAATTTGTATTTTGATCTCTGCTTTAGCTGACAGACTTTTTTTTTACAATAACCAGAGTACTCTCAAGTGAATGTACAGATGTAGACATTTAAAAAAATTAGCTTAGTGATTCAAGTTAAAGGCAGTAGTCACTTATTCTGAATTTTTAAATTTAATTTTTCCCCATTTTCAGTTGAAAAATGCAATTTCAGATTGAAATTTGTATCAGCTCCAACACTGTAGTGGGTGTTGTTTCTCAGTGTGCCACGGAGCTTTCCACTTGAGACGTTCTTGGCTAGTTCTCTACAGGTATAAAAAGAAGAAATCTTTTTTGTTTTTTTTTTAATGATTGAAATAATATATATTAAGCATCCACTATTTGCAGGTATGAAGTTATAAAAATGAATAGGTATAATATATAAGAATAAATTATATAAGAATAGAATAAATCACAATCTTATTGCAGAGCCAACAAGTAGACAAATCAGACCAATAAGGGTGTCCAAATCTGACTGATAAGGGCATCTGGAAACAGATAGGACTCCACACTTTAGATCGATTACTTCTAACAGATATGCAAAACCTTTTATTTAAAACAATATTTCCAGATGTTAAAAATATTGTGATAGAGCCCAAATGTCTGCTTTGACTCCTATCAAATGTATAGACCTGGGAAAATCATTTTAACAGCTTGGGCTGGTCCTGAGTTGCAAAGATGAACAGAATCTAATTGCCAAGTTGCATAGCTTCCACATAGTTCCCAAGATCAAAAGTGATCTGAGGACTATATTTCATAAAATCCTGTTTCTGGTCAAGGCTCTGACACCCTCTGCTAGGTCTCCTGAGACCCTGTAAGTTCTGCTGCAGTAGTTCTTCAATTGTCTAATCAGCAGTGCTCTCTGACTTCGGACTTTGGTGCCCCGGAGAATCATCTGACTCACTAACGTAATCACTGGTTGTTCCTCAAGTCCTACATTGATTTGACACTGTCATTTTCTGTTATTGGAGTCTTTCAGAGGAAGATCCTACAGAAGATATTTAGATACCCTAATTCTCTAGCTTTACCACTTAGACTTTTTCTTTTCATTCAGGACTCACAGGTTGGAGGGCCTGAGAAGTTCTCTTGATTGTGGGAAAAAGAGGATTAAGTCAAAAGGATTTACACCCAGCCTCATCCTGTACTCTAAACCATTATTCAGCCAGTAAGTCTTTCAGATTAATTATGGGTATTTTCTGCCATGTCCTTCTTCTTCTGAAATCTAGCAGGAATCATATCTTATCCCTGCTTGAATACCTCATATTATAATGCCTGGCATTTGTCATAAGAAAAAAATGGCATTTTTGATTGTAAGAATAAATTATGACTGTCTCCTGGATTCTATGCTGTTTTGGTATTTTCTTTCTTTTATGACTTTTCTTACATGTTTATTATTTCTAGTTGCCACCATAACTTTGGTGTTACACAGAATTTCACACTTAACTTTCTTATCTTCGTTTGTCATCAACTTTCTTTGTGATCTTAAGTGATTTTTAAGTGCTACCTATAAGAAATAGTTATCAAATCTCTGAGATTCTGTCTCTTTCCCAAAATCCAGACTTGCATATTGAATGTCCTATTGGACTTCTCTATTTGTAGTTTCCATAGGCGCTTAAACTCAGCATGATCAAAGATGAACTGGTAATACTCATGTCCGCATTTCTTCTTCCTCTTATGTTTACTATCTTATTTACTGCATGCCTTAACAACCAAAGCTGGGAAACTGAGAGACCTCTTGGCTCCACCTACTCTTTTAGTCCCCATTGGCAATCATTTACCAAATCCATGTATTATAGGTCCCACTTAAATAAATTCATTTATTCAATTATTTCCACATGTGTCAAATTGTTATTGAATGCCACTGGTATCATGCAGTGCTCTAGGAGCTTGAGGCATGACAACAAAACCAAATCAGTTCTCAGAGAGCTCACATTTCCAGAGACAGACAAGAAATAGATAAGCAAAATTTAAAAAATATATTATCTCAGGTTGTGTTTAATTCTAGAAAGAAAAATAAAGCAAGGATGCAGATAGTTAATCACTAATTGTTAAGGAAGAACTGGTGGTTTCTGAAGACTTTTCTGAAAAATGAGTCTGAGCAAATGATATGTATTAGAATGAAATTCACAGATAGGTAGGGAGAATGTTCAGCAGGTGATGAGATTTGTAAGTTGGAATATGCTTGGCATGTTGAAGGAATAGCAAGGTAGTCTAATATCATAACGTAGATGGTTTTAGAGAGGTAGACTAAAGCCAGATTATGTAGGATATTATAGGATTTTGTGGATTTTATTCTAATGAAAACCTACTAATTTTAGAAAATGGGAATAAACCAGTCTGATCTCTCAGATATCTGAACCCTAGTGATGTGCTGGTAACTATTTAGCAATGTGTGGTGGAAGAGGAAATGGAGCATGTGCTAATATTTATGTTGTAAATACACTCATCATGGCCAAATTCAAGCTATCAATATAACATTACTGATTACGGAATTGGGAAGAAATGTACACAATTGGCTCTGTTGAGCTATAAGAATTAAATAAGGACTGTCTCCTGATTTTTTTCACTACCTCTTTGAGCATTTTTTCACTTATTCTTTACACTTTCTTACCTTAATGTACCATTTAAATGCTGTAGCATAGCACTACTGTACTTGTTCTGACTCTTACCATCTATACCTGCGGTCTTCAATAGTCTAGTGTTCTTTTTTGGTTTCTGAGCACTTGAAATGTGGCTAATGCAACTGAGTAACCAAATATTTAATTTTGTTTAATTTTAACTGATTTAAACTCCCAAAAGGAAATTTGATTCAGTTACCACAAAAATTTTGAGTATGTTTGGATCAACTTGCATATGTAAGACTTTTTCAGTGGTGAGTTTTATAAAATCGAAGTGCAAAATGCAGATCGAATATTCCCAATGAAAACTTAGAGTCTGAATTGAAATATGTTGTAAATATAAAAGATATGCTGGGTATCTAATAATGAGTATGAAGAGAAGAATGCAAAATATCTGATTACCAATCTTTTAAAAACTGATAACATGTTTAAATGCTAATATTTTAAATATATTGGATAAAATAAAATCTATTTTTTTATTAATTTTAATTTTTTACTTCTTTGGAACATGGCCACTAAAACATTATATTTCTATTAGTACAGTGCTGATCTTAATTCTTGCTACTCCATGTGTAAGAGTAGCTTTTTAAGAAAGCTACTTTTAAGTAAGAGTAAGCTTTAGGAGTAGCTTTTAAGAAAGCTCTTTTTCTAAGAGCTTTTTAGAAATGCAGAATCTTAGATGCTATCACAGATCTACTAATTACAAAAATAAATTTTTACAAGTTCCCTGAGGTGGTTTATTTGTATGCACATTAAATCTAGAGAAGCATGGATCTAAACAAAGATGAAAGATTAGTTTTTGCAGTCTAGTTCCCTTCCGTGCTACCTTGCTCTCTACTGTTCTCTCTGAAACTGTATTCATCTTTATTTAAAACCCATAAATGGTACAAGTTAATATTTACATAAAGCCTAAACTTCTTACTTAGCCAGGCACACGAGGGGCTTTTAAAATTCTTATTTATTTTACAAGTGGCTTTTCGATACTAACTAACTATCCAACCTCCTCTTCTGCATCAAAAATTTTATACACAATCATTAGTGAATTACTTGTTCTCCAAACACATTACTGTTTTCTACTCCTTGGCTTTTCTCTGTCTTGCATATTTGTCTCTTTCTAGTCAACATGGGGACATATTTCTTGTAAGATGAATTATCCAAAACTTTAAAATAAGGCAAAAAGAATGACTGCAGCTCCTTTCAGTATCATACTGAAGAATTGTTTATTAGAGCCACTGAATGATTTTTTCTTTTCCAGGACACTATGCCATTGTTTGACTGCTATTATCTAATTAATGGCTTAGACTTTCGAAAGTTACATGTTAACCTGCATATTTGCCCCTAGTAAATATGCAAATAATTTTTATATGGTGAAAAGACAACCTAAGAGGTTATACTGTCTTGCCATGAAGAACATTAATTGTATCTATTGATATTCTCTATCTAATGATAGAGATATCTCTATCTAATGAAATTTCTATTTAATTACTTTACTTTTTTAAAATTTTATTTTTATTTCAATAGTTTTGTGGGGGTACAGGTGGTTTTGGATTACAAGGATAATTTTTTTTTTTTTTTTGAGACAAGAGTCTCACTCTGTCACCCAGGCTGGAGTGCAGTAGTACCATCTCGGCTCACTGAAACCTCCACCTCCTGGATTCAAGTGACTCTTGTGCTTCAGGCTCCGGAGTAGCTGTGATTGCAGGTGTGTGACACCACACCCAGATAATGTTTTTTGTATTTTTAGTACAAATGGGGTTTCACCATGTTGGCCAGGCTGGTCTTGAATTCCTGAACTCAAGTGATCTGCCTGCTTCAGCCTCCTAAAGTGCTGGTATTATAGGCCTCAGCCACCTTGCCCAGCCCATGGATACATTCTTCAGTGGTGAATTCTGAGATTTTAGTGCACCTGTCACCCAAGCAGCATACACCGTGCCCGATATGTAGTATTTTATTTTTCACTTCCTTCCCAACCTTCCCCTCACCACTGATTCCTCAAAGTCCATTATATCATTTTTATGCCTTTGTGCCTTCATAGCTTAGCTCCCACTTATAAGTGAGAATATATAATATTTGGCTTTCCATTTCTGAGTTACTTCACTTAGGCTAATGGCCTCCAGCTCCATCCATGCTGCTGCAAAAGACATTATTTTATTTATTTAATGGCTGAGTAATAGGCCATGGTGTATATATAGCACATTTGCTTTATTCACTCCTCGGTTGATGGGCACTTAGGTTGGTTCCATATCTTTGCAATTGTGAATTATGCTACCATAAACATGTGTGTGCAAGTGTCTTTTTCATATAATGACTTCTTTTCCTTTTGGTAGATACCCAGTAGTGAGAATTGCTGAACTGAACGGTAGTTCTACTTTTAGTTATTTAAGAAAGCTCCATACGGTTTTCCACAGTGGTTTCACGGATTTACATTTGCACCAGCAGAGTAAAGTGTTCCCTTTTCACCACATCCACTCTATCATCCATTGTTTTTTGATTTTTTAATTATGGACATTCTTATAGGAGTAAAGTGGTATCTCATTGTGGTTTTAACTTGCATTTCCCTGATGATTAGTGATGTTAAGCATTTTTTCATATATTTGCTAGCGAGATATATATATATTATATATATCTTATATATATATTATATATAAGATATATATAATATATATATATTCTTTTGAGAATTGTCTATTCATGTACTTAGCCCACTTTTTGATGGGATTGTTTTTTTCTTGCTGATTTGAGTTCCCTGTAAATTCTGGATATTAGTCCTTTGTCAGATGCACAGTTTGCAAAGATTTTCTCCCATTCTGTGGGTTGTCTATTTTCTCTGCTGATTATTTCTTTTGCTGTGCAGATGCTTTTTAGTTTAATTAAGTCCCATCTATTTATCTCTGTTTTATTGTATTTGCTTTTGGGTTCTTGGTAATGAAGTCTTTGACCTAAGCCAATGTTTAGAAGGGTTTTTCTGATGTTATCTTCTAGAGTTTTATGGTTTCATGTCTTAGATTTAAGTCTTTGATCCATCTTGGTTTGATTTTTGTATAAGGTGAGAGATGAGGATCCAGTTTCATTCTTCTATTGTGGCTACCCAGTTTTCCCAGCACCACTGATTGAGTAGGGTGTCCTTTCCCCAAGTTATGTTTTTGTGTGCTTTGTTAAAGATCAGTTAGCTGTATGTATTTGACTTTATTTCTGGGTTCTCTATTCTGTTGCATTGGTCTATGTGTCTATTTTTATACCAGTACCATGCTGTTTTGGTAATTATAGGCTTCTAGCATAATTTGATGTCAGGTAATATGATGCCTCCAGATATATTCTTTTTGCTTAGTATTGCTTTGGCTATGCAGGCTCTTTTTTGGTTCCATATGAATCTTAGCGTTTTTTTTGTTTGTTTGTTTGTTTGTTTTGTTTTGTTTTGTTTTTGGTTCTGTGAAGAATGATGATGATATTTTGATTGGATTTGCATTCAGTCTTTAGATTGCTTTTGGCAGTATGGCCATTTTCACAATTTTGTTTCTTCCCATCCAGGAGCATAGGACGTGTTTCCACTTGTTTGTGTCATCTATGATTACTTTTAGCAATGTTTTATAGTTTTCCTTGTAAAGATCTTTCACCTCCTTGATTAGGCATATACTCAAGAATTTTATTTTATTTTTTGCAGCTATGGTAAAAACAATTGTGTTCGTGATTGGATTCTCAGCTTAGTCATTGTTGATGTATAGCCAAGCTACTGATTTGTGCACATTGATTTTGAAACCTGAGACTATACTGAATTCATTCATCAGATCTAGGAGCCTTAGGATTTTTCTAGGCATACTATCATATCATTTGTAACCAGTGATGGTTTGACTTTCTCTTTTCCAATTTGGATGCCCTTTATTTCTTTCTCTTGTCTGACTGCTTTGGCAGGACATCAAGTACTATTTTGAATAGACATGGTGAAAGTGAATATCCTTATTTTGTTCCAGTTCTCATGTGGAATGCTATCAAATTTTTCCTATTCAGTATGATGTAGGCTGTGGGTTTGTCATGTATAGCTTTTATTACTTTAGGTATGTCCCTTTATGCCAATTTTGTTATGGATTTTTATTATAAAGTGATGCTGGATTTTGTCAAATGCTTTTTCTGCATCTATTGAGATGATTGTATCATTTTGTTTTTAATTCTGCTTATGTGATGTATCACATTTATTGACTTGTATGTGTTAAATCATCCCAGCATTTGTGGTATGAAATCCACTTGATCATGATGTGGATATGGTGTTGGAATTGGTTAGTTAGTATTTTGTTGAGGATTTTTGCATCAATATTCATAGGAAATATTGGTCTGTAGTTTTCTTTTTTTGTTATGTCCTTTTCTGGTTTTGTTATTAGCATGATACTAGCTTCATAGAATAATTTAGGGAGGATTCCGTCTTTCTCTATTTGTTGGAATAGTTTCTGTAGGATTGGTATCAATTCTCCTCTGAATGTCTGGTAAATTCCAGCTGTGAATCCATGCAGTCCAGGAATTTATGCATTTCCTTTAGATTTTTTAGTTTGTGTACATAAAGGTATTCATAGTACCTCAAATGATCTTTTTTATTTCTGTGGTATCAGTTGTAATATCTACAGTTTCATTTCTAATTGAGTTTATTTGGATGGTCCCCCTTCTTTTCTTGTTTAATCTCACTAGTGGTCAATCA